>NC_000005.10:179221574-179372019 GCF_000001405.40 Homo sapiens
GGTGAGGCCTGGGGCCTCTTGATGCTCCCATGCCCTGATGTCCCATCCTCCAGGACGCTCCCATGCCCCTGCGCCTCCTGAGGGGGCAGGGAAACCCCATGTGGGCGGGCAGCAGCCAGGCTCCCTGGATCTGCCCAGAGAAGAGCCCCCCGCAGAGGTGATGCAATGCTCACCACGCCCCCCTCAGCTCAAGACCCTGGAACTTGCCAGACCCTCAGCCCTCTCTCCCAGTGAGTGTCAGGGACCTCCCTTTCCCCTCAGGCTGCTGGGCCCCCAAACCACATGTCCTCCTTCCCTCTGCTCCAGCCCCCCATGGGGCTGAGGAGCAGGCCTGCCCAACCTTTGTTTCTGGTCTCTCCTGTCCTTCACGCCTGGCTGTGGGATCTTCTCTCAGACCTGCCTCTCCCACGGGTAAATCCCAAGGTGCAGACTCAGAGACAGCACCGAGAGGCCCCCAGTGCAGCCGCCACTCTGAGCCCAGAGGCCAGGCCATCCAACCCTGCAGGGACGGGGGTTCCTCCCATTTGTCTTCCTGTGTGAACTCCGTGGGTCCAGAAGCCTGAGTTTGGGGGTGGTGACAATTGGCCCTGGTGGACCCCACACACTCCTGTCCCATGATGCTTCCTGCCCTAGAATATCCCAGCTGCAGTTGAGGAGGGAAGGGGCTCCTCATACTCCCCACACAGCACCCAGACCACGGTGTTGACGAGGCTTAATTTGATCAGCCCTATTTCGAGAAGGGAGGAAATCAGAAATCAGAGTGAGTGCTGAGTCCTGAAAATTTAATCCCCAAGGCAGCCTCACAGGGCCTTTCCTCCCCAACCGGGGCAGGTGGCAGGGATGCACTACAAGCCCAGATCCCAGGGCCACCCTGAGAACCAGGAGGGGAGGGAGGGCCACCCTGCCTGCAGAGAGGATGGCAAAGGCCCTGCTTGCCGGGCCCCAGCTGCCCTCAACACTGCAAGGGCTCAGAAGACTGGACCAGCAGCTGGCCGGGCAGAAACTATAGAAATCATCCTAATTCTACTTTAAAAGGCTGGGGTTTCCTCTTCTTGCTTAAAAGCTGGTGTGACCCTTCCAGGTAGCAGCCAGCGGCAGGCCTGTGGCTCACTGAGATGGGCTGGGTGGGTGGCCCTCTGGCCTGTGCTCCCAACCAGCTGCCCATGTGCTCCTGCCTGCCCTGCAGAGGTGACGTGGCTGCCATCACAGCATTGCATGTTGTGAACTGACTCCTGCCAAGCCCTGAGAGGGCATCAAGTCTGGCAGCAGCCCCTGCAGGGCCCAGCTGCCTCCGAACCTCCAGCATGCTTCTCCCAGGGCAGGAGCACCCTCCCCAGAGCACCCAGTCCTGTTGCCACTTTCTGCCAGGCAACCCCTCCCCCTGCTTCCAGGTCCAGCCTGACTTTCCTCCTGTTTGCAACAGTTCCTACCTGCCTGCCCTGGGCCCATGCCCTCCACCAGGACAAGTCACTGTCTCCTTCTCTGGCTCCCAAAACCTTCATTTTCATTCATTTGTTCATTGTTCATTCACTCGTCAAGTATTTTGCTAACTACCATTTGCCAGCCTTGCGTGGCACCACCTCTAGGAGAGCGCTCTGGGGTGTCACCATCACAGGCTGGCCTGCTCAGTGATCACTCCTCAGACACATGCACACACACACATGCACGCAGTCACATACACACATGCACACTCACACGAATGCACTCATACACACACACACGAACGCACTCACATACACACATGCACACTCACACAAATGCACTCATATACACACGAATGCACTCAGACACTCACAAACACGCACACACGAATGCACTCACACACACGCATGCAGTCACATACACACATGCACTCACACGAACGCACTCACACACGCACACTCACACACGAATGCACTCACACACAAATGGACTCACACTCACATGCACACTCATACGAATGCACTCACACACATGCACTCACACTCACACGAATGCACTCACACACACGCGAATGCACTCGCACACGCATGCACTCACGCGTGAATGCACTCGCATACTCACATGCACACTCACATGAATGCACACACACATACACTCACAGACGCACACTCACACATGAATGCACTCACACACACGAATGCTCTTACATGCACACAAACGCACATGCATACATTCATCACATGTGAGTGTATGTGAGTGCATGTGCGTGTATGTGAGTCTATGGATGTGTGTGCATGTCACACGTGTGTGCATATGTGACATGCACACTCAGGCACACACATGCACACACACAAACGTGCACATGCACACACAGGCTCTACAGTGAACTCCTGGAAGACTGAGGTGGCCCTTGACCCCTCTCTAAGTCCCCAGGTACCCACATGGGGCTTGGCAAAATGAATAAATAAACGGGCCAAAAACGCCTATTGGATAAATGGAAAACTTAGTTATCCTTATGCTACTTCTGAGCAGGTGGAGACAGGACAGGGTAGGACGAGGCGCAGCGTGGATGCGGGCGGATTGTCTGTATCTCCTTGGTGGGAGCAGTTGGCCGTGGAGTCTACATCGGTTTCCTTCCTGGCCGTCATTTACAGGGAGAGCATGAGGGCGGCGTGAGGTCAGCGGGGCAGGTGGATGCTGTGCGCTTACTGCAGCCATGCGGTGGGTGCACGCTACCACCGTCTTCTCCTCTTTTTCTTGGGAGCTGTCGCCATGGCTCCCGGCACACCCTGACATCCGTAGGCGCCATCCTGACAACACGCTGCCGGCCGCAGGCCTCACACCACAGCAATTCTCACTCGGGCCTCCCTGACCCTCGACCTGTGGGTCCCTGCTAGGCTGGGCGTGTTTCCCGATGCCCCATCTCTCTGACCTAGACATATTTTGTTCACATGTTGAACAGAGAGAAACGGTCTGCATTTCCAGAAAGAAATATACTCTCCCAATTTTCCTTGGAGCATGCGGCCCTCTTGGCTTGTCTTTTGCTTATTCCCTCTTCACTGAGAAATATTTTGCTCCCGTGAGAAAAGCCATGTGGGCAGGGGGATGAGAGGGCACACTGCCTCCAGCCCAAGGTGGCCAGTGGTGACTAGGAGGGTGCAGGTCCATGTTGCTGGGTCTTATTTTTGTAAGGAAGTGAGAAATCTGGATTTGCATGTGAAGTCTCTGATCTCTAAATACTGGCAAAAAGCAATTTAAGAATAATGTAGGTGCTGTGCTGCTTGTGAAATGAACCAAAGCTGGGTCCCCAGGTCTGTCTGCCACCTCAGCTCCACGCCCAGACCAAAGCTGTGTCCTCAGGTCTGTCTGCCACCTCGGCTCCACGCCCTGAGCAACCGTTTCCCTGTATCCTCCTCCGTCTGGCCTGGAGAGGTTTTGAGCACAGTAGGTTCTGGCCAACCAGAGTGAGTCCACCTGCCTCTGCCTCACAGTGGCTGAAGCTTCCCGGGCCGCAGTTCACGCCCCACTTGTTTCTCCACATCCCTTTCCCACCTTGAAGGACAGCTCCTGATGGATGTGTTTTATGGTGGAATCCTCACGCAGGGGCCTGAGGAACACTCCCTGGTTATCCACACGGCAACTAACACTCAGCACGCACCAGGCTCCTCCTCCCTCTCATGGACTCTCAATTCAGCCCCGCACAGCCAAGGGCTCACCCACATCATGTGCGCTTCAGACAAAGGACTAATTTCCTTAATACATAAAGCGCTCTTACAAATCAACAGGAAACAATCCAGCAATCCAAAAGGGAAATGGACAAACGGTATTGATACAAAAGTGCTGGGTAGAGAAGGGCATGCTCCCTTTAAATGATATGGAAGCAGGGAAGTGCATGGTCCCTGGCTAAGGGCTCCACCCTCACGGACCTATGTGAGGACAGGCACTCTTGCCTTTGTGCCCAAATGTCACATTTCCCAAGACCACCCTGGTCCACCATGTCCCCATCCTGTGCCTATAAAAACCCGAGACCCTAACAGGCAGACACAGGCGGCTGGACGTCGAGAGGAGCGCATGAGGGGAGGAACACACAGGCGGCTGGACGTCGAGAGGAACGCACCAACGAGCACCAGCACGCTGCAGGCCACCGACCGGCAGAAGCAGAACGACACGGAGTTTGGCCGGGGCAGTCAGAGGAGAGCCCAGGCTGCTTAGCGGCCCGACTCCAGGGAAAGCCCTTTGCACCCCATCCTCCTTCTGGCTTCCCCCATCTGCTGAGAGCTACTTCCACTCAATAAAACCTCGCACTCATTCTCCAAGCCCACGTGTGATCTGATTCTTCCAGGACATCAAGGAAGAACCCGAGATACAGAAAGCCCTCTGTCCTTGCGACAAGGTAGAGGGTCTAACTGAGCTGGTTAACACAAGCCGCCTACAGACAGCTAAAGTAAAAGAGCACATGCAGCACACGCCCACTGGGGCTTCAGGGGCTGCAAACATTCACCCCTAGACACTGCTGTGGGGTCGGAGCCCCACAGCCTGCCCGTCTGTATTCTCCCCCAGAGGTTTGAGCAGAGGGACACTGAAGAAGGAAGCCACACCCCCATAGCACGCCCTGCGAGGAGGACAAGAGAACTTCTCTCATTTCAATATGAGGGGACAATTGTCAGAAAAGAAAAGACAGCAGCTTTTCTTTTCTTCTTTATCTCTTTCTTTCTTTCCCTTCCTTCTTTCCTTCCTTCCTTCCTTTCTTTCTTTCTTCTCTTTCTTCTTTCCTTCTTTCTTTTTTTTTTTTGAGACAGAGTCTCTGTCACCCAGGCTGGAGTACAGTGGCGTGATCTCAGCTCACTGCAACCACCGCCTCCCGGATTCAAGCAGTTTTCCTGCCTCAGCCTTCCAAGCAGCTGGGATTACAGGTGCCTGCTATCATACCTGGTTAATTTTTTTTTTTTTTTGTATTTTTAGTAGAGACAGGATTTCACCATGTTAGCCAGGCTGGTTTCAAACTCCTGACCTCAGGTGATCCATCCACCCTGGCCTCCCACAGTGTTGGTATTACGGGTATGAGCCACCGAGCAGCTTTTCAGTGTATGAGAAGACGCTCGACCTCACCCTTAATTAAAGAAACAACCTGCATCAGATTGTCCAAATAAAAATGTACGGATCAGGGGTACATGCTGAGAGAAACGGATCCAGCCAACCATCCTAGGGTTGTGGTCATCCTTATCAAAGTTGAAAATGCACAAACCTTTTGAATCCACAATTCTAGTTATCAAATTTAATCCTACAAATGTCCTCATACAAGTAGCCAAGGAAATAAGTGTAAGGATATCCACGGCTGCATTATAAGAAACGGTGAAAAGAAGTAACGTCCCCATCAGTCAAGGTCTGGTTAAGCAAGTGATTCACAGGATGGAATGCCTGAGCAGGAGGAATGGGCAGGTCTGGAGGGGCTGCTGTGGACGACGTCCAAGACATGTTCCCTGATAATCGCAAATGCAGGGTAGCACACGGTGTAGTCTACAGTGTGCAGGAAAAAGTCAGAAAAACGAAAACACAGTATCTACAGGACACAAAATCCCTTGAGCCAGAGATTCTAATCCTAGGATTTATATATGTGTGTGTACACATGTGTATATATATATACTTGTGTGTGCACAGGACATCCTGAAAGGACACAGAAGAAAGGTGTGCAGTGGCTGCCCTGCAGAAAGGAGCTGAGTTCCAGGACAGCCAATGGGAGGGGGATGAGGACAGCAATGAGCATTTCATATGGCTGCAATCCTTAGTCCAGCCAAAAAGCAAGCCACGCACATGCAGGAGAGGCCAGGACTCTCCCAGCAGCTCCCCCAGGGGTCAGGGGCAGAGGGAGCCCCCAGCCTGGCCTGCTCCCTGACGACTCTACACTTGGCAGCTGAAGGGGGCCACCCTGACAGTCAAGGCCCAGCTGTGATCTGGGGTGGAACTGGTCTGGCACCGATCTGCTTGGCCTGGCTCTGGGTGCTGGCACGGCAGTATCTGGTGGGCTGCAGGGCCCCCAGCTGGGGCCCTTTGAGTGATGATGAGCCTGCTGGGCTGGGACCACAGAGTGAGCAGGACCAGCATCCCCTCAACCCCAGATGCCCTCTAGGACTGCAGGGCCCAGACACAGAGAGGGAACCTGACGCTCATGGGGAGGGCTGAGAGGCAGGCAGAGGGGGAAGGGTGTTCCTGACCACGGCCCACAGGACCAGCAGTGCAGAGGGCCTGGGAGTGAGGGAAGCCCCTGCTGTGCCAAGGAGGGAGGGCCAGGAGAGGAGAGATGGCCGAGGCCGGGAGGAGGGCAGAAGTGCAGAGAGACTAGAGGGGGCAGGGCAGCCCTGGCTTGGGGCTGGAGAGGGAGCCAGGAAGGAGGGTGGAAGGCAGGGGAGGCAGCGTGTGGACAAAGACTGAGAGGGGGAGTCACAGCTTGGGTGCAGAAAGTGGGGCCAGGGAGGATTCCGGGTTTCTGACCTGGGCAACCGGTCACCCTGGGAAGCCTTCCCTGCAAGGGACCCTCGGGAGGAGCCGCGTGGGAGGAGGAGAAGGCCGTGTGGGGCGTGTTGGGCTGAGATTTCTGTGGGGACACAAGGACAGACACCCATGAGACACTCAGGCAGGAGTGGTCTGGAGCACAGAGAGAGGGTGGGCCGGAGGCCCCAGGTGTGGGCGGCCTCCAGGATGAATCAGCTGCAGAGCACCGCAGTGGCGCACACAGATCAGTGTCCTGATCTGAAAAGTAGGCATAACGATGCTGGCCACAGCCCACAAGTAAGACACATAGAAAACCTGAGGCCCACAGAGGTGACAGGAACGGGCCAGGTGCACGGACAGGGCTGTTCCTGACTCAGCTCACTCCACCAGAACCCAGTCTGGGCACCAGCCTGTTTTCTTGTCCTCTCCAGCCAGCAGGGCAGAATTGGGGGTGGACTTGCCCCAGCCTGAAGACCTCCGGGGCCCTGGCTCCTCCCTGCTCCACCTGCCATAGCCCAAAACCAGTGTGGGTGTGAAGCGGAAGGAGACTCTGCAGCAAGGCCCAGCTCTTATGCCGGCCACTGCCTTGCCTCCTGCCTGATGCAGTCTCTCGGCAGCAAGGCAGGTGCCCTGAGACCTGGAGGTGCCCCCAGCCCCAGAACCCACCATGCGCGGCTGGGCCGACTGTGCCTGCCCTTAAGGCAGGCAGAACACTAACCAAAGCCAGCGGACATCCACTGCCTGCGGAGCATCTGGGGAAGGCTCCTGTGGGGCTCCAGACCCGGGGCGGTGCCTTCACCACGGCCTCCTCATCCAGCATCCACAACTCTGGAGCTAGGAAGCCCGGTGCTCCTTCCCAGAGGAGGGAGCCGAAGCTCTGCCAGTCTGCACTGAAGTCTGTGGTGTGCGGTCACCTGAGAACAGCTCAGTCAGTCTGGCTGGATCCTGAGCTCCTCCCCCGGCCTGTGCTTGAGAGGTGACAGCCAGCACGTGAGCAAGTGCCCTGGGTTCTGGTCCCAGCAAAGCTACCTCCAGCTGTGCACCTCGGTCAGGCACCTCCAGCTGTGCACCTCGGTCAGGCCACCCTCTCTCCGTCAGACCCTCAGTGTCCTGATCAGTGTCCACAAGTAAGACACATAGAAAACCTGAGGCCCAGAGAAGCCAAGGAAGTCCTTACAGGCTTCTGTCAGAGAATCGGAGGAAAGGAGGGGACGCCAGAGAATCTGGGCTTAAGTGACTTGGCCGTGATCAAAACACAGGCAGAGTCACAAACACGAGACCCCGCTGCCCACTCCCGACGGAGAGGTAATTCCACAAACACGAGACCCCGCTGCCCACTCCACAAACATGAGACCCCGCTGCCCACTCCCGACGGAGAGGTAATTCCACAAACACGAGACCCCGCTGCCCACTCCACAAACACGAGACCCCGCTGCCCACTCCCGACGGAGAGGTAATTCCACAAACACGAGACCCTGCTGCCCACTCCACAAACATGAGACCCCGCTGCCCATTCCCGACGGAGAGGTAATTCCAGGTCAGTGGCATCCAGCCTTCCCCGGCCCCCAGGCCCCCAGCTGCCACCAAGAAACACTCTTTGTAGGGGTCCTGCCCCACTGGGGTGCAGAGGTACATCCCCCAAGGCCCAGCCCCGCAGGAAGCCCTTCCTCTGCAGCCATTCTTGAAATCACCTCCAAGAAAAAAGAAATGCTTCAGCTTCCAAAGATATCCCCAGGCAGGAAATGGGCCGCAGGCAGCATGAATGTTTAATTACGTTAATTGTCCAAGTCCAGCGCACATCATCCCTCCTAAGTACCTTATGGGAAATCGTAATTAGGCGTGAAATGGCTCATTTTCACAACTCCCCTTTCTCGGGGTTCTCCAGGGCGCATGCCCCTGTCAGCTGGCCGGACAGGCCTCTCTTGCCAAGGCTTACCCTCCTTGGTTCTAATTTAATTTTGTGACCTTTTCTCTCGACATCCTGACCCCGTACATCCCTGCGCCTTGGCACACTGCACCAAAGCACCATAGAATTACTGAGCTATAAGCCTCTCATGGAAATCTGTTTTTGACTTTGTTAGAAAACACTATAATCAAATCCCTGAGAGTCAGGAGGGATGGGCTTGGCCTGCCAGAGGAAACATATCACCGGATTAAGTGATTTAGCAGAGGTGGTCCCGGCGGGAGGAGGGCAGGGCAGGCTGGGCAGGGCTGGGCGTGAGGTGGGCAGGCAGGGTGCCCTCGGGGGCAAGGGGGGAGGGGATGCGCAGAGGCAGAGGATGGGCAATGTGGGATTACCAGAAAGTGCGGTCTGGACATCCCAGGGCCTGCAGGCTTCCTGAGTGCCTACCTGGCCCTGGGCACTCACAGGGCATTGATGCCGAGATGCTCAGCTGTGCAGAGGGTGTGCAGGTCTGGTGGTCACTTATGCGCTCCAGGGCCTGCTTCTGCTGATGCCAGGGCAAGACCCAGCCTCAAACACACATCAAATACATACGCTTGACGTTATGCCCGGGAGGGCTGTGCACACAGGCACACAGAGACGGTGAGACTTGGGGATACTTGGGTCCAGTTACTGTCACCTTGGGTCTCACTTCTGGGAGCGTGGATTTGGCTGGCACCACTGCACTGCGGTGTGTCTGCGTCTATACAGACTTCCTCCATTTCACGCATGTACCTAAAACATACCACCATTCATGTACTGTCAGGCACTCTTTCATTTTGTAAAACAATAGGGTTATCAAGGCCTGCGCAGTGGCTCATGCTTCTAATCCCAGCACTTTGGGAGGCCGAGGCAGGCGGATTGCCTGAGGTCAGGAGTTCGAGACCAGGCTGGCCAACATGGTGAAACCCCATTTCTACTAAAAATACAAAAATTAGCCGGGCATGGTGGTGGGCGCCTGTAATTGCAGCTACTCAGGAGGCTGAGGCAGGAGAATGGCTTGAACCCGGGAGGCGGAGGTTGCAGTGAGCCGAGATCGTGCCACTGCACTCCAGCCTGGGCAACAGAGCGAAACTCAGTCTCAAAAAAAAAAAGCCGGGGGGGCTACCAAAAGATGAGAGGGACCCAGGCCTGTATTGCACATCCACATCAGTGACAGTGTAATGGTACGCAGACCCCCTCCCCACATGCACACGCATTCTGAAATAAGCCAGGCCCAGAAGGACAAATACGGCACTCGTCCACTCACATGAGGATCTGTAATCAAACGCATGAAAGCAGATGACACCATAGAGGCTGCCAGAGCTGGGGGAGCGGGAAATGGGGAGTTGCTGTTCAATGGGTGTAAAGTTTTAGTGATGCTGGACGAGTAAGTACTAGAGGTCTGCTGTACAACGTTGTGCCTGTAGCTGACCATGTGGCACTGTGCACTTCGAAATTCTCTGAGAGGTCTGAGCTCACGTTAAGTGTTCTTTCCACAAAAGCAAACAACAACAGCAACAGAAATGAAGGGACAGAAGGAAACCGTGGGAGAAGACGAGTGTCTACCGCCTCGATGTGCTGATGGCGTCCCGGTGTCTGCACAAATCCACACTTGCTGAACTGTAAGGGGCCGGTGACCTCTACAGTCGCCTACCATGGCGAGCATAAACTTGCAGAGAAGAGGATGAGAATTCTGATAATAGGACAAATCAAAGCTTAACAAGTAATTAAAGGACAAATTGGTGCATATAACAAGTCGTTCCCTGTCTCGCAGCTGACATGGATCAATGTCCAAAATTTTTATCCAAATTGTTATAAATACACATGAGAGTCTTCTCGGTGCAGTGAATAGTGAAGTCAGCAGAGGCAGTGGCTCACCCCTGCAGTCTCAGCACTTTAGGAGGCCGAGGGGGTAGGATCACTTGAGTACCAGAGTTAGAGGCTGCAGTGAGCCATGATTGTGCCACTGCACTCCAGCTGGGGCCACAGAGCGAGACCCTGTCTCTAGGAAAAAAAAAAAGAAAAAAGAAAAAGAAAAAAAAAAAGAGGAAATTAGCCAATATCCCAGAGAGTGAAGGCAGAACCCGTATCAGCTTTTGCCAAAAATGAGAACTCCACAGTTGCCTCCGCATTCTGTCTTTTAAAAAGTGTCAATTTTACATTATGAAATAGAGTGCATCTTTTTAAAGTAAAATCGATGCTCCAGGAAGATATTCCACGTTTATCCTGGACTTTGGTGCCCTCTCGACACTTGGTTTTGATTAAATTAATCCAAACTCCAGTTTGCTAAGCCAGTGCACCTGTGTGCGGCTGTTACATTGCACCAATGTTTTATCAAATCTCCGACTATGCCCAAGTGCGGCGCCATGGAAGCCACACGGGATCCCTGACAGACAGAAACATCCATACTGCTCTTAAGGTGGCTCAGGCACTGTTCCAAGCACCTCGTCTATAGTTGCCCACTGATTCTTCGCAGCAGCTGTGTGAGTTAGCTGTGATGCTTATCTTCATTCTGCAGATGGGGAAACTGAGAAAGGCTATCCCAATTTCACACTGCTCGGAAGTGTCAGAACCAGGATATGAACCCTGGCATGGCTACCAAGAGTCTGTGCTCTTGAACGCTGTGCTAGGCCACTCCTTCTGGGGCTGTTACATTTTAACTCTGACATGTCAAGCAAATCACTATAAGTTTATTGAGTCATTTCTTAGCTGCTTCATCTGTAAAGTCGGGTGACAATGGCTGCAGGTCCTGCCACTCAGACGATTCCCACGCGTGTCTGCATCAGGATGAGGATGAGTAGATCGGTAAAGTGCCTTGTAGACTGTGATGATCATATTTTTGTCTTTGATTCCACTGCCAGCACAATACCTTTTTTTTTTTAATAAAGGGCTGTTGAACTGCAATTCCCATGTTTGTATACATTCTTCTTCTGTTTCTTTGGTTAAAGTTTCAAGATTCTCTTAGGGTTCAAATGTTTAAATTTCAAATCCTTTGGCTCATCTGACTAATTACAAGCATAAAATATGGCATTTCCAACAAGTCTGGAGAATGGAAGCACATGAAATTATGCACGACCATGAGCATCTGTGTCGGGAGGCGGGAAGGCGTTCACCCTTCAAACTCAAGTGAAAAAGGTTTGCCGTAGTTAAAGGCTGCTGACAAATAACTACTGTTCTGAGAAATCACCACTGTTTACTGGGAGAATCGTTTTTCAGCAAATATATCAAGAAAAGTAAATATCAAGTATAATTTGCAGAGTTGCAGATAACTCCACATTTTGGAATAAAAAACTTCTGTGTCTGTGTACAAGTGTGCAAAACACAGCAGAGACATTTTTCTTTCCAATCCTGCCTAAATACTGACTGAACATCATCAGTGCCATCTCCCATGACTGTGACAGTGTATCTTGTGTGTATGTGTTGTATCATATTATCTGCTTTGTTAAATGCTATGCTTGTTAAAATGTGTCACATTAAAAAACAAAAACAGCCCGGGCATGGTGGCTCACGCCTGTAATCCCAGCACTTTGAAAGGCTGAGGGTGGGGGAGGGTGGATCACGAGGTCAGGAGTTCAAGACCAGCCTGGCCAACATGGCAAAACCCTGTCTCCTCTAAAAAATACAAAAATTAGCCAGGCGTGTTGGCAGGCACCTGTAATCCCAGCTACTCGGGAGGCTGGAGGCAGGAGAATCGCTTGAACCCGGAGGGAGAGGTTGCGGTGAGAGGAGATTGTACCATTGCACTCCAGCCTGAGTGATAGAGTGAGACTCCGTTTCAAAACAAAACAAAATGAACAAACAAACAAAACAAACAAAAACAAAAAAACAGAAACACACACTACACTGACTACACTGAAGCCCTCAAGCCGCTGAGCAGCCATCTCCAGGTCCCCAAGGACCAGGCACCAAGGTCTGGGGGTGGCCCAGCATCCATTCTCCCCTTTCTCAGAGCAGCAGCCCAGTGTTATTTCCTGGAATTCCTGGAACCCTGCATGCACACAGCCCTCCCCAAGCCAAACATCCTCTCCCTCACAGAGTGTGGGATTTGAGCCGCAGGAGCCAGAAGAGGAAAAGGTAGTGGTGTCACTAAACACCTGGTCACAATGGTTAAGACCCTCCTGTGTCCAGGACCCCGACTGCCAGGCCCTTCCACAGCCCGACTCCCCGTGGACTCTGCAGGTTTCCTAATGTCCTCCCAGTAACTCTTCCTGGCTCAGGGCAGCTGGACTTCATGCAAGCTCTCTGCCAGAAGAGACCCTCTCCTGCCACAGGCGCCCTCCCCATCAGATGCCAGAGATATCACCAGCCCTCGAGGCTTAACCCCTGCTCTGTGGGGGATTCCTGCTGCTCTGCCTGAATTCACCCAGGTGGGCAGTCCTCAGGTGACTTCTCCAGCTCTGCATGGAGAAGGCCTCACCATGCATCTCAGAGAGAAGTGGAGGCTGCACCCCCACAGGAAGTGGGGCCCAGTCCACCGTGCCCTGGACGCTGCTCATCCACTAGGACTGGGCTTCCGTGTGCAGGGCTTCACCCTCGCTCTCCTCTCTGCCTGCTCCACACCTGCTGCTTTGACCTCCATGACCATGGACCTGCTGACAGGTGCCCCCCGACCCACCTCCAGCCTGCACCTCCCCAGGCTCCAGACCCCGCCCCCTGCTGCCTGCAACTGCCCCTGGGGTGTCACAAGGCACCTTCATGCCAACAAGTCCCAAACAAACCTGTCACCTTTCCCTACCCCAACCCATCAGCCATTGCTGCTGTGCCCATCTCATCTCCACATCCAAGGAGTCACCGCATCCTGGCACCTTCCCCATCTCCCCGTCCATGATGAGCTCAGCCCCTCCCTCTACCTGGATGCAGCAGCCTCCTCCCAGACCTGGCCCCATCCGCTGCTGCTCCCTGCCCTTCACTCCCTGTAGCTCGAGTCCTCACCTGAGCTTGCCCCCATTAAAATCCTCTGTACCTCCCTCTTCCCAAGCCTAGCAGACCCGTGCGGGAGTGCGAGCACACTGGCTAGGGCCTCCTGATGGGCCTGACCTGCCTGCCAACCCTCCCAGGGACCTGCTCATGTTCCCGCAACGCCCTTACAGCCATGGGTCCGAGAAAACACTGCTCACTCTGCCCAGAATGCCTGCCCTGCCCTTTCTGGCAGACTCCTATTCAGTCTTCAAAACCCAGCTCCCAGCTCGTTAGGCCCGCAAAGAGAGCAAGTTACTCTCTCTCCTAGACTCAAGCACCCTGTGCTTCCTTCTTTTAAACCACTGATCATGCAGAAGTATAAGCTCACCAGTTTCCAAGTCCCCTAACCAGACCATGAGCTCCAGGGGTAAAATCATGCATCAGATTCATCTCTGGGTCACCTGCCTTGGCTGAGAGGAGGCTCATGAAGGTTTGGCACAATGGGATGAAGGAATAGACAAGGAGCAAGAATACGAGCTCATCCTCATGCCTCAGAATAGCATGAAATGCTCAGGGTGTGTGGGACAGAACTGACGCCTTCACACCAATGGAGCCAGATGCCAGCCTATGTGTGTCCAAGTCCTACCAAGTCCCAGGCTGCATGGAAATCAGAGGGACCCCAAATCGAATGAGCGAGGGGCCCTTAAAGAAACTCACCTGGCCCCTTTGTCTCAGGTCCTAGGGGTTGGTGCTGCCAGGAACTCTCATAGGAGAGGGCCTTGTTCCCACCTAGTCCCAAGCATCTGAGCAGGGCCAACGAAAGTGCTGGTAGGCCAGGCCTTGCCCTGGAGAGGAAGGGCAGAGAGGAAGGAGAGGGGAAGCGGGGTGGACCACCTCTGCTCAGACCAAAGGCAGAATCCAGTGCTGATGGTTGCCAATAGGGTCCTCTCTGTTGCTGGGCCCCCATGAACCATGTGAGCCCTGCACAGAGCTCCTGCTAGATCCTGGGGGTCTCCCTGCACTGGGATTGCTCCAACAGTGCCCCCACCCTCAGGGCATGGGTTGCCCTCTGCATCTGGCCAAGTGCCTTCCCAGACACCCTGCAGCCTCAGCCTCCTGTGACCACTCATGTCCACCTAGCCTGGTCCTGGTCCCAGGTGCCCTCCTGGTCTAGCTGCCACTAAACAGATGAGAAGCTCCCTCCCATCCCAGCCCTGAAATATGCTCAGCCTCAAAGCCTCTTGGCACATCTCAGCTTCCAGATGTCCTGTGCCTTGTGAGATATTAACCACACTCTGCCTAGCCCTCTGCCATGAGGTCAGCTCCGCTCCCAGGCAGGGGGAAGAGCTGCCTTGGGAGCAATGATGGGCATCGTCCCTCTGTGCTGTGTTTGGGGTCTTCCCTCCCTCCAAGTCTTGGACTTTGGGCCCAGAAATCACTTTCCCTCCCTCCTCTCTGAGCACACAAAGGGCAGGACTTGTCTTCAGGTGCTTGGGGAAGAGGGACGCCAATTGTTCCAGCCACTCCCGTAAGGGTGAACCAGGAGACTAACCATCAAATTCACCAGGAAATCCCAACCTCCAGGCCCTGACTGAGGCACTAAGACCCAAGCAAGCAATATCAATGAAAGCCAGAGGTGCTTAAGGTGGGGAACAAGAATGAGCTGTCAGAGGCCTCTGATAAAGAATCGTTTAAAAAGACTTTCTTTGCTGCGGCTCATGCCTGTAATCCCAGCCCTTTGGAAGTCTGAGGCGGTAGGATCACTTGAGGTCAAGAATTCAAGAGCAGCCTGGGCAATATGGTAAAACCCTGTCTCCATACACATAAAAAAAATTAGCCAAACGTAATGGGGTGCACCTGCAGTCCCAGCTACTCGGGAGGCTGAGGTGGGAGGACTGACTGACCCTGAGAGGTTGAGGCTGCAGTAAGCCGAGTCCATGCTGCTGCACTTCAGCCTGGGTGACAAAGCAAGACCTGGTTTCAGAAAAAAGAATTTCCCCCTTCGATGTATGCTATGGACTGAATATTTGTACCCCCAAAATTCATATGTTGAAACCTAATCCCCAGAGGGATGATTTTAGGAGGTGGGGCCTTTGGGGGGTAATTAGGTCATGAGGGTGGGGCCTCATGAATGGGATTAGTGCCCTTATCAAAGAAGCCCCATGGCCAGGTGCAGTGGCTTACACCAGTAATCTCAGCACTTTGGGGGGTTGAGACGGGAGGATAGCTTGAGCACAGAAGTACAAGACCAGCTTGGTTAACACAGCAAGCCCTCATCACTACAAAAACTAAAAATAAAAAAAAATATGTTGCATGTGGTGGCTCACATCTCTAGCCCCAGCTACGTGAGAGGCTGAGGCAGGAGGATCGCTTGATCCCAGGAGTTCAAGGACACAGTGAGCTAGGATCGTGCCACTGCACTCCAGCCTAGGTGATGAGTGAGACTCTGTCTCTAAACATTTTTTTAAATTAAAAATGTAGAAATAACATAAAAGAGGCCCCAGAGAGCTCTCTTGCCCCTTGCAATGCATGAAGACAAAGTGCAAGAAGGTGCCATGTGTGAACCAGAAGGTAGGCCCTCAGCAGACACAAAATCTGCCAGCACTTTGATCTTGGACTTCCCAGCCTCCAGAACCATGAGAAAGAAATAAACACTATGTAAGCCACCTGGTGTTGGGGGTGCTTTTTGTGGTAGCAGCCTCTACTGACTAAGACAGTGTCACTTCAGCTACTCTCAAGAAAGGCTTCGTCACCTGGATCCAGTCGCGTCAGTTAAGCGGTGCTGCCCAGCTCTGGGAGGCTGGGGGAGATGAGGCGATGTGTGATTCTCAAGGTCAGCATGTTGGAAAGTCTAGCAGGGTTTAATGAGGACGGAATTAAAGGAGACGGGGCCTGATGAGGGGCTCTGGGCCTCTCTGTGTCCCTGTCTGCTTTGTCTGGAAAATGGTGAAAGGAAGGAGGCATCTTGGAGCATCTGTGTCCTCTGGTTTTCCTTGATCCCTGGATTCACCAGGACACAAAAACCCAGTGCTTCTTGTACTGCAAGGTGCTTGAGAAAGGAAGAGCAAACCCACAAGCTGAAGAGTCCCAGGCAGCCATCGCTCCCGACACGCACGCCGCAGTGTAGCTGTGGCTCCTGAGAACGGCGGTGTTAAAGGACAGTTACTTAACCAGAACTTGGGGTCCCCCTGCCCCGCCCCACGGAGGCCTTGAACATCCTACAATAAACACACACCGAAGCCATGTTCTTGGAGAGACTTTGGGGAGGCTGTGCACTCTGGAAACAGCCAAGCTGTTCTGTGGCTTGGAAGAAACAAGCAGTTCCATCCACTCTGGGCTCACAGATATTCCTCCTGAGCTTGAAGGAAGCCACAGCGGAACTTGGAGCTGCTCTAGTTCTCTGGAACATGCAGCAGGTGGAACCGCAGACGTCTCTCCAGGGAGCTGAGTCCCGGTTTTCACCTGCTGGGTGTCCACGGATTCACCCCCAGCTACTGTGTAGGGGCCAGCTCCCCTCAGGGACTGCTCCTGGGAGACCGTGGGAGTCACCGCAGCTCCCTGCTCTGTGGAGCGGCCACGCTAGCAGAAGGAACAGAGGGTGCCAGTGCTCTGAGTATGCCGGAGGGCAGTGAGTGCTGCGGGAAGGGGCTGGAGGGCACAGGGTCTGCGAGTGCCAGGGCAGGTGGTGCGGGGGGAGCTGTCTACAAAGCCTTAGAGCGCCAGGGTAGGTCCCACTGGAAGGGAACATGCAAGCAAAGACTCGAATGAGGTGGGAGGGTGAGCTGAGGGTGTCTAGAAAGGGCATCCAGGCGGAAGGAGGACCCCATGTGGGGTTTTGAAAAGAAGGGCAAGGAGGCCCAGGATGGCAGGAATCAAGTGAGTGAGAAGGAAAATGGAGGCCACGGGGTCCCAGGGCGAGGCGCTGGGTCGTGTGGGGTCTGGTAGGTGGCCCGGGTGCTGGGTGCTGACTTCTGAGCTGAACGAAGCAGGAGCCACTGTGGGATTTCCAGCAGAAGACAGACATGATCCAGCAGAAGGCATCAAAGGATCCCTGACCACGGACCGCCCCAGGACCCTTCCACCATAGTGCAGGATTCCTCTTACAGGAAATGCCCCAGTAGGCAGATCTAGAGAGGCAGGAAGTGGATGAATGGTTGCCTGGAAGGTGGTGGGGGAGGAAGGACGACAGCTAAGGGGTGTGGGGTCTTTGGGGAGGGAGAAGATGTTGTGAATATAATAAAAACCATTGAATCGTACACTTTAAATGGGTGACCTGTATAGTATGTGAATTATATCTCAATAAAGCTGTTAGAGAAAAGAATCCCTGCTGCTGTGTTGAGGACACATGGGGGTGGGGAGGCAGGGAGGTCTGCTGGGGGCTCCCAAAGTCATCAGAAGAGGACAAAGGCTTGACGCAAGTGACAACCGTGGAGATGGTGAGAAGTGATCAGGGTCGGGGTGGATTTTGAAAGAAAACCTAAAAAGATTTCTCAACAGGTTTCTCATCAGTGTGAGAGGAAGAGAGGGGTCAACCCTAACTGCAGAGCTTTGGCTGTGCAAATGGAAGGAAGGATCAGCCGTGCACAGAGCTGGGGAAGGCCGAGGGTGGAGTGCGGAGAGGGTGAGCGCGAGTTCAGTGAGGGGCGTGCTGAGGTGGTACTTCCAAATTGAGGTTGGCAAGTAGAGAAATGCCTTGGAACTTGGATTTGAAGAGTGCAGAGACAGATGAGGTGCAGATTCTGCTGGAGTCAGGAGCGTGGGCAATACAGAGAGCATGGAAGGTGGAGGGGCAGTTGGAATATGAGTCTTGGGTGCAGGAGAGAGATCTGGGCTGGAGACGCAAATCTGGGAGCCATTTCATGGTACATAAAGCAACAAGAGGAATGAGATCGCCCACAGAGGGGTGCAGAGGGAGACCAAGGAGCGTCCAGGACAGAGCCCTGGGCGCATCAACCCCAGAGGGTGCGGGAAGAGGAAGGATCAGCAAAGGAAACGGGGATGAACTGTGAGTGCTGTGATTAGACCAAGAAAGTGGGTGTCCGGTAAGCCACACCAAGGGAGCAGGAGGGACTAGCCTGCCACGTGCTAGGGATGGCGACTGAGGATTGGCAGGGAGATGCAGCAGCATGATGACCTCGGGGAGGGTGCCTCTGGCAGAGTGGCACACACAGAGGCCTGGTCCAAGTGGGGTTAAGACACAGTGAGAGGAGAGGAATCGAAGATGGCGTCTCCACCTAGGGGGTGCTGCTGAGAGAGCAAAAAGCTGGGAGAGTAGGTGACAGACGAGGGAAGCCGTCAGGTGTGAATGCGGATAGGGAGCAGATGTTGGAGGTGTTCAGAGGACGGAAGATATGAAAAGTCATCTGGAAGGAGGCAAACAGACTGAGGGGAGCAGTCTGGCTGCTAGCGGCACCTTGCTGGTGAACATCATCGTAAGCAAGAGCAGAAGCAGGGCTGAGCTTTGTTCAGGGGTACCCGTGCCAGCATGAAGTAGGTAGAAAGTTTCATTTTACCAGGACTAGGGCATTGTTCAGTAGATGTTACAAAGCAAGAGTGACTCCAATGAGGGAACCTGCAGTTTAAGAGAAGGAGGCTGGGTAAGGGGTGGAGGGAAGGATCAGTGGTGTGAGAGACCGTGACAAGGCGGCAGCATCAATGGCCTGCAGGTTTGCTGGAGCACAGGTCGGAGCAAAAGGGAACCGGGAAAATAGAAGGTCATCAGAATGCAACACTGCAACGGATTATGCAGGTATAGGGGCCGCTGGCAAAAGAAGGTTTAAGGTATGACCAAGGCCAAATCCAGTGGGGAGTCCTTTTTGGAAACCTTGACAGCTGTGGTCATGGTCGACCTCATGGGAAATTTTGCAAACTTGATCCTGTGTCAAATGAGTTCCCGTGACGCGTGTCAGTGCGTGTGGATCTTGCTGTTTGGGGGAGGGCAGAAACTCTGCAGACCCCATGCCTTGCCACCCTCGACCCTGATACGCGATGCCAATAGACACACTGCTGCGGAAACCATAAACGTCACCAGATTCAGAGCTTGAGCCCACCTCTCCCAGAGGTTTTGTCCGGTAAAGGGAAGAGGAACAGGGTTCAACTCTCCTGGCAGAACTCTATGGATGCCGCAGAAGACAACGTTAATGAGCTTGGCTTAACTTACAAGGGATTTCCGGTCTTGTGAAAGAGGAGGAAACTCAAATCTCAGGAGAGTTTAATGGCAGGAGTGAGCTTGAGTGTTGGTTTCCCTAATAGATGGGTTTAGCTGCATGGGTGAGGTAGACCAAGGCCCTCTGTAGAATATGCTGGAGAACAATGATTCAAGACTACAAAGAAACTGAAGTGTGAGCGGAAGATAGGAGTGAACCTTCGAGAACCGGAGGCCATGCCACTGCCTTGTTTCGGGTGGAGGAACAAAGCCTTGTCACTGTGTTGCCAGGGACAGAGTGCAAGGTGCCTGGAAGCTCCTCGGGAACGTTAGCTGTGTCCCTCATCGCAGGCAATGGGACCCTGCACCAGTGGCCAGTACCTGCTGCCCCAGCCAGCCTCTGTGAGGCACACACTGCCAGAGATGACCTCACGCTGGTGGAAAACGAGGAGACAGCAGATCAACCCAGCCGGGCTTCCACGTCCAGCAAAACGAGGCGAGTTCGGGTTGTTATTCTGCTCTTTCATGAGTCAGGGCTTTGGGCCTCACTGCCTTCCAAACAGAGTCAAAATCAATTTGACGTTCAAAACGACATGAAAATTGCCATGTCAAAGGCCATTCTGTAATTTCAGTGTATTAAAATCAAAAGAGCACAGCCTTCTTGAAGAAGTTTCCTTTGGGCAGAATTCAAGTTTCCTCTTTCTTTTACTTGTGCAATTTGAATTTATTTCACTTTTTCAGGAAGTGACCATTTTTGCAGGAAAAGTGTAGTCAAAAGAGATAATGCACATGAAGTTTCTTTTTAAGTTCTGAGTATGTCGAAGAGATTTACAGTGCATTAAAATAAACTATAGGCAAAATAGTGTGTGTACCTATCTCTACGCATTTTTTAAAAGGGGCAAGTGGGGGACCATCTTGTTGATTTTTCACACCAGTAGCCCCTTTCCGCCAGCGGGAAGGGCCTTGCCCCACCCAATGTGTCTCTGGTGGATGGGTAATTCATGCCCATGCTACTCCCCAGTGGCTGTGGTGGGGGGGCACATAGCCCACACCTGGTACTCAATGCCCTCAGCACAGTGATTGGTCCAGGGGGTGAACACATGACTGGAGTGAGACTAATCATGGGTCTTCCATGAGATCTGAACATTGGGAGAAAAAAATATTCCCTTCCTGGCTCAGTAAGCTCACAGCGTAGGCCTGGGGCTGCGTATGTGAAGAGCCAATCTGAGAAGGAAGTCTCTGCAGAAGAGAGCCAAGTCCTAGGAGGAGGAGAGACGCTGAGCCTTGGCAGCCTCGTGTGGGCCAGCGGTGCCTGCTGTCTTGCTCGCGTGTGCCAGCAAATCTCCTTTTCTTGGCTTAATTGGATTTGGATCTCTAATTATACCTTGAATGACCCTGACATATCCAGTGTCTTCTACCTTCCTTATTGCTGTGGCCCTTTAAAAAAAGATTAGGAATCATCTGCCATGAGAATTCCACTTCTGGAATGGTGGTGAGAGGAGCCCCATGGACACATTCCCCTCAGAACAACCATAACTGGTGAAAAGTATTGAAAAGTCACCATCAACAACAATTTAAAGTCTCTAGAAATTATCCTAAGAGCACACAACAAACTAAGCAACATCATCTATTCAAGAAAATCAACCAAATCTTGGGAAGAAAAATCCCAGTAAGAACAGCAAGAATCGGTGGCACCTGAGCCATCACTTGCTCTCTCTTCCCCGCTTCTAGTCCTTCCAGTTCAGCTTATGGGGAGTTCCACTCTGGGGGTGTGTGGCCAAGAACACAGGGCTCCCTCTTCCCTCAGATCCCAGTCAAGGAATACAGTATTTCACCAGGATAGATGGGCCACCAGCGTTTCTCATCATCTCCAACTCCCAGTGACAGAGGGTAACTCCCTGCTGAGTGTGACCGAAAGGCCGGAGCACCTTCCTCCACCCAGCCCTAACTCAGGGCAGGAGCTCCGTCTCAGGTGCAGCAGGGCGAGAGTGCTGGGCTCCTAATCACCCTAAGTCCAGCCTGCTTGCTAGAAAAATATTCCATGCTAGGGGGAGGCAAACCAAGAAGATCAGAGGCTACCTCCTGCCCAATACCTGGAGTGGTGGCTTCAGTGAAGATTCTGGCGGCAAGAATTTAAGAGGAGGCTGACAGCTCTATGAGAACAACAACCTGAACCACAGACCAGCTTATTTACTGGAAAAAAAAAAAAAAAATCAGGAGAACAGATCGTTATGAGGATCTCTTCCAGGGGGAGAATGAATTTCAAAGACTGGCCTCAAAATCATCCCTACCCAAATTTAATTGGATCAAACTATGTGACAATTTATGTCTCAGGACATTGTTGAAAATAATAGAGCAATCATCCCTCAATTAGTGAAGCCTAGTAGCTGGGTGTGATACCAAATGAAGCAGAGAGTGTAACAGACAGATCAGAGAAAGGGACAGTCATAGGGAGCCCTGCTGAAATCACTGTCATCCCGGGATGACCCTGCACACGCTCAAGGCTGTGCCCTCCAACAGCTGAGGCTTCCCACTGTGAAGAATACAGACTTTGTGAAAACAGTCTAACCAAATCAGGAAACAAATAAATACACAAACAACTGCAAACAGCCTCAGAGATGGGGGAGGGGAATCAGTATGCAGAGCTGCCACATGACCCAAAATGTCCAGTTTCACACAACAGAAACACAAATGACTCATTCACAGAAAAAAAGGCGGCAACAGACACTGCTGGTAAGAAAGCCCAGATGTCAGATGTAACAGCTGTCAGATTTTGCAGCAAAGATTTCAAAGCAGCCATTGGAAATATGTCTTTGAAAAAAGGAAACCATGCTTATGTAAAGGAGTGATGATGACAATATCTCATCAAATAAAGACTATCAATAAAGAGAAATTATAAACAAGAACCAAATGGAAATTCTGGAGTTGAAAAGCACCATAACTGAGAGGCTTAACAGTAGATTGGAACTGGCAGAAGAAAGAATCTTGAAAACAGATCAATAGACATTATGCAATTTGAAGGACACAGGGAAAAAAGAATGAAGAAAAGTAAACGGAACTTAAGAAAAATGTGGAAACCATAAAGGGCATGAACATATGCACAATGGGAGTCCCAGAAAGAGGCAAGTGAGTATAAAGGAGCAGAAAAGATGGAAGAAACAGTGGCAAAAAGCTCCCTAAATTTGGTGAAAACATTAACCTACGTGTCCGAGAAACTCAGCAAACTTCAAACGGGATAAATGCCAAGAGATCCACACCCAGAGACATCATAGTAAAAATGCCGAAAGCCAAAGACAAAGAGAAAATTCTGAAAGCAGCAAAAGAAAAATGACTTGCCACATATGTGGGAATCCCAGTGGGATTTCCAGCCGACTTCTCCTAATAATGGAAGCCAGAAGGCAGCAGAATGGCATATCCAATGTAAAAAAGCTGTCAACCAAGAATCTTTCTCCAGCAGAACTATTTTTCAAAATTAAGGTGCAATATAGACAGTCCCAGATAAGTAAAAACAGAGAATTATGAGTAGACCCATTTTATCAGACATACTAAAGGAAGTTCTTCAAGCTGAAAGCAAGTGACCTCAGTTGGTAACTTGAATTCACACCCACACACATACAGTACCAGTAAAGGTAATCACGCAACTTTAAAAGACAATATAAATGGGTATTTCTTCTCTTTTCTTCCCTTAACTGGCTTAAAAAGCAATAATATAGAAGAAGATGTATATAATTGTATTATTGGGCCCATATAATATATAAATGTAATATATTTGACTAACAGCACAAAGCAGGTGAACAGAAACACAGCTACTGGAGTAAAAAAATGACACCAGATGGGAACTTGAATCCACCGCAACAAATGAAGAGAGCCAGAAATGGTCAACAGGAAGGCAAACTGTTGATATATATGTACTCTCCTCTCTTTTTTCAGCTTCTTTAAGCATGAAATTATATAAAGCAATAATTACAACAATTGTTAGGTTTGTAGCATATATAGCTGTGTGGTAGGCAGAACTGTGGCCCTCCAAAGATGTTCACATTCTAATCCCCAGAACCTATCTATCTGTAAGGTTATATGTAAAGGAAAATTAACATTGTAAATCAGATGACTTTAAAATATTGAAATTATCCTGGATTAGCCAGATGGGCCCAGTGTAATCACAAGGGTCCATAGAGGGGGAAGGGGGAAGCAGAAGAGAGAAACTGGAGGGATGGCTGCACGGGAAGGACTTGGCCTGATGTTGCTGGCATAAAAGACGAAGGACAGAAGTCATGAGCCAAGGAATGCAGGTGGCCTCCAGAAACTGGAAAGGGCAAGGAAACAGATCCTCCCCGGAGGAGGACCCAGAAGGAACAAAACCCTGCCAAAACCCTGATTTAAACTCAGTGAGACTCATTTCAGACTCTGACTTCCAAAACTGCAAAATAATACCATTGCATTATTTAAGCCACTAAATTTGTGGTAATTTGTTACCGCAGCAATCAAAAACCAACACAAGTTGCACAGCAAGAACAGTACAAAGATGGGGGTGGGCCGGGCGCGGTGGCTCACGCCTGTAATCCCAGCACTTTGGGAGGCCGAGGCAGGCGGATCACGAGGTCAGGAGATCGAGACCATCCTGGCTAACACGGTGAAACCCCGTCTCTACTAAAAATACAAAAAATTAGCCGGGCGTGGTAGCGGGCGCCTGTAGTCCCAGCTACTCGGGAGGCTGAGGCAGGAGAATGGCGTGAACCCGGGAGGCGGAGCTTGCAGTGAGCCGAGATCGCGCCACTGCACTCCAGCCTGGGCGACAGAGCGAGACTCCGTCTCAAAAAAAAAAAAAAAAAAAAAAAAAAAAAACAAAAAAAACAAAGATGGGGGTGGAAGAATAGAGCTATATAAGAGTAATGTTTCTATAGCTCACAGGAATTAAGTTAATATAAATCTAAAGATTCTGATAAGATGCATACGACAAGGGAGAGGACATCACCAAAGTGACAGAATAGAGGACTCCAAAATTCTGCCCCTCCACAAAAACAGGAAATAAGCTAGTAAATCTCAGAATCGACTTTTTTGGAACTCCAGAATTTAACCAGAAACCTACAACAACCAGGGAATGCTTAATGAAGAAAGCAGCTACTGAATTTTGGTGACAGTGGGTTATGGTGTTTTAATTTACTTGCTTACCATTATCTTATTCTCCAACTCAGCAGTGGCCATGAAGATGGCAGACCACATTCCTGGTGTAGGTTGCTGATACCAACCTACACATCCAAGGAGCTCAATGACTCCCAGTTTGAAAACTCAAAAGAAAGAAATATGGACCTTATATCCAGAGAATTGTGGTTGTGGGTTTTAACCCATCTGCTGGCTTGCCTTTGTTTCAACTGTCTCGGAGCTTCCCCAGGACTGAAGTGGTTTCCCAGACAGTGTTTGTCAAAAGTATTTAAAGGTAAATGTATTAGCTGCAGACACCTGGGGCACAGGACAATAGTTGGGGCAAGACGCACAATAAACATATCTAAAGGCTTGGGGAGGAAGAGGGTAGGGAAGGAGATATTTGAGGAAATAAGGTTTTTGGAAAGCTCTTGTGCATACCAGAGAATCTAGGATTCTACCACTGACATGTCTAGGGTGAGATGCATGCTCAGAAAAGGTCTAAGAAGACTCAAAAGTTTTCACCTCTGGCTGACATTTAGGGTCTGTACAAGTAGGAAGTGAAGGCTAAGACAGAGTTGTAAACAGTCTGGCTAAGCATCAAAGGTGTGCTCAAACACAGAACCAATCTACAAAGACGAGGAGAGTATTTCTTCCTACCCTGGCTTTTAAGAAAGTCTCTGTCAAATCACTAGCTGACCACTAAGCTAACAAAACAGAGACTTTGGTGGCCATATATAATGAACAATGCAGACTTTACAAAAATAGTTTAGAAAAATCACTAAACAAACAAGCAACAACACATAAAAAACAACAAGCCCTGGGAAGTGGGGGGCATCTGATTTCCAGAGTCTCCACATTCAAAATGTCCAGTTTCCAACAAAAAATACAAAGTATGCAAAATAACAAGAAAGGATGGTCCACTCACAGGAAATAAAAAAGACCTTCCCTGAGGAAGCCTAGACACCTCATGTGCCAGACAAAGATTTTAAATAAATTGTCTTAAATGTGTTCAAAGAACTAAAAGAAACCATGGGCAAATAACGTAAGTAAAGCAAGAACATAATGTATCACAAAATAGAGAATATCAATAAAGAAATAGAAATTATAAAAAGGAACCACAAACAATTTTGGAGCTGAAAAGCATAATAACTGAAATAAAAATTTCAATAGATCAGTTCAATAGCAGATTTGAGCAGGCAAACAAAGAATCAGCAAACTTACATTATCAGCAATCATCCAATCTGAGAAGTAGAAGGAAAAAGAATGAGGAAAAAGGAACAGAACCTAAGAGATCAAGTACACCAAAATACAAAAAATGAGAGTTCAAGAAAGAGAATAGAGAAACAAAGGGGCATAAAGAATGTTTGAAAAAACAATGGCTCCAAATTCCCCAAATTTGATAAAAAGAACATGATTCTACACATCCAAGGAGCTCAATGACTCCAAGTTTGAAAACTCAAAGAGTTACATCAAGATACATTGTAATCAAATTGTCAAAAGACAAAGACAAAAAGAGAGTCTTGAAATCCACGAGAGAGGAGCAGCTTGCCACATATACAAGGGCTCTCAATGAGCTTAACAACTGATTTGTCATCAGAAACAATAAAGGCCAGAAACCAACGGGATGACATATTTAAGGTGCTGAAAAAAATACTGTCCTGCGGCTAAAAATTCCAACAAAACTATCCTTCAAAAATACAAGAAAAATTAAGACACTTTCAGAGAAACAAAAACTGAGAGAGTTTGTTTTCTAGTTGACCTGCCCTCCAATAAGTGTTAAAGAAAGTCCTTCAGGTTGAAATAAAAGGACAGAAGACAGTAACTCAAAGCCATATGATGAAATGAAGAATACTAATAAAGGGAACCCCAAAATCTTCGTTTGTAACTCTTCTCTTTTTTCCTATATGATTTAGTCTATAGATGCATAAAGCAATAATTATAAATCTACATTAATAGACACACATGTATGAAATGTAACAATATTATAATAAAGGGTGGGGAAGACAGAGCTGTATAGGAGCAAAGCATTTTGTATACTATTGACACTAAGTTGATATCAATTCAAACAAAATTGTTATGTGTTTAAGATAATAGCTGTAATTCCCAGGATAACCAATAAGACCATAGCTTTTAAATATACAGCAAAATAAATGAAAACATGAATCAAAACAGTACACTAAAAAACAATGTGTTAAACACAAAAGAAGGAAATATTTGAGGAATTGAGGAATAAAGAATATGACATATACAAAACAAATAGCAGATAGCAGAATTCAGTCCCTCCTTATCAGTAATTATTTAAATACAGATGGACTAAATGCTGCAATTAAAATTCAGAGAATGGGAGAATGGATTAAAAAATCCCAAGATATAATCCAACTATATGCTTATCCACAGGGGACCAAATTTAGATTCAAAATACACAAATAGTTTGAAAATGAAAAGATGGATAAAGAAATGCTATGCAAATAGAAACCAGAAGAGACCTGGGATGGCCATACTAATATCAGACAAGATAGACTTCAAGTCCAAAAATTTTACAACAAAGAACAGCATTATATATTGATGAAAGAGTCAATCCACCAAGAAGATATAACAATTATAAACATAAACACACCTAACAACAGAATCCCAAAATCTATGAAGCAAAAACTGACAGAATTGAAGATGGAAATAGACCATTTTACAATAATAGCTGAAGACTTCAATATTCCACTTTCAAAAATGGATAAAACAACCGGCACATGATCAGTAAGAAAATAGAGGACATGAACAACACTGTAAATCAACTAGACCTGACAGACATACATAGAGCACCCCACTCAACAGCGGCAGAATGTGTATTCTTCTCATGTATGATGATCATTCTCCAGGATAGGTCATATGTTAGGTCACAAAACAAGTCTCAATAACCTTAAAGAGACTGAAACCATACAAAGCATCTTCTCCAACCACAGTGGAATAAAACTAGAAATCAATGACAGAAGAAACCCTTTAAAAATTCACAAATATGTAGAAATTTAACAATATTCTCTTAAAGAACCATTAGGTCAGGTAATATGTTACAAGATAAATTAGAATATATAATAAATAATAAATCTTGAGACAAATGAAAATAAAAACACAACATACCCAAAACTTAAAGGACATACAAAAGCAGTGCCCAGAAGAATATTTATAGCTTCAAATTCCTACATTAAAAATAATAAAGATCTCAAATCAATAACCTAACTTTACACATGAAGGAACCAGAAGAAAAGCAACAGAAACTCAAAGCTAGCAGAAAAAAGGAAATAATCAAGATTATAGTGAAGGTAGACAAAATAGAGAATTGAAAAACAATAAGAAGACTCAATGAAACCAAAAGCTGGTTCTTTGAAAGATCAACAAAACTGACAAACATTTAGCCAAACTGACCAAGATAAAAAGAGAGAAGGCTCCAATTACTAAAATCACAAACAAAAGTGGGGACATTACTACCGACCTTATAGAAATAAAAATGATTATAAGAGAATATTATGTACAATTGTATACGAACAAATTAAATAACCTAGAAGAAATGGACAAATTCCTAGCAACACAGAAACTACCAAAATTGACTCAAGGAGAAATGGAAAATTTGTACAGATCTATAACAAGTAAAGAGCTTGAATCAGTCATCAAAAACTCCCAATAAAGAAAAACCTAGGACCAGATGGCTTTACTGGGAATTCTACCTATCACTTAAAGAATTAATATCCATCTTTCTATGAGGCCAGCATTACCCTGATACCGAAACCAGACAAAAACATCATAAGAAAACTACAGACTAATGTCTCTTATAAATATAGGTGCAAAAATCCTCAATGATATTCTAGCAAACCAAATTCAGCAGCATATTAAAAGGCTTATATACAATCACCAAGTGGGATTTATCCGTGGAATGCAAGAGTGGTTCAACACACAAAAATCAATCCATATAATATACTACATTCATAAAATGGAGGAAAATAAACCACACAGTCATCTTGGTTGATGCAGAGAAAGCATTAGACAGAACCCAACACCCTTTGTGATCAAAAAATACTCAAGAAACAAGGACTAGAAGGGAAATTCCTCAGCATGATAAAGGGTATTTACGAAAAGCCAAAAGTACTCATCATGGTCAACTGTAAGACTGGAAGCCTGCTCTCACCACCTGTATTCAACATAGTACCGGACATTCTAGTCAGAGCAATTCAGCAAGAAAAAAATAAATAAATAAAAGGCATCCACATTGCAAAGGAAGAAGTAACACTTCTTGAGGGAAAATGGGGAATGATGGCTCGTGGGTACAGGGTTTCTTTTGGGAGCAATGAAAATGATCTAAAGTTGACTGTGGTGATGGTTGCACAGCTGAGTGAATATAGTAAAAATTATGGAATTATGCGCCCGAAACGCTGAACTACAGCATATGTGAATTACAGCTCAATAAACCCACCATAAAGGAAAGATTAAACAATGATCTACTCCTTACCTCTGTTCTCAGAGCCATTTCCAGCCCAGCCCAGGCCCCAGGCAACCCTCTGTGGGTGACGCAGCATTACCTGCTTTCTGGCTGTCCAGTGTTGTGTAGCGCAAGGCCCTGGGAGGCCACTGGGTTGGTCATGCGGTAACCAAGAAGGGGAGCAAGTAGTTGGGTGACAAACCCTGTACATCTGCTCCTAACTTTCGAAACCTGGCTGATGGGAGGCCAATGTCACCCTCTAACGCCCTCCCATAGCAGCCTCGGCTTGTCTTCTGACAGTGGCACTGTCCACCCACAGGCATCACGCATCCTGCCCGCACATTGCTTCCGCCAGTGGAGCCCCAGCTGAAACACTAGACAGGAGAGAAGTCCAGAGATCCTGCTCACTCTAGGGAAGGAGAAAGACCTCTTCAGCTTGTCCTGCCTCGGCAAAGGCAAAGCCTCATGCATTTGCTCACTCCTCCCTCCCAGGGCTCAGCCGGCACCTGAAGCTAGTGTAGCAGAAAGAGCCCAATTCTGCATCAGGCGGGCCTGGGTTCAAATCCCAGATCCTCCACTTTCTAATTGTGCCATCTCTGAGCCTTCCATCCCTTACCTAGAAACAGAGTTCTTTCCACCCATGCCCTTGTGAGACAGCGTAAGTGAAAATGACATCCACACGGTACTGGAAGCAGAGCTGCTAGAAACCCAGCCAGGCAGGGTTTGAACTTGTTATCTCCAAAAAGTCTCAGGAATCGTATTTCTGCCTGATGGTGACCTACTTCAGCAAGGACCCAATGTAGAAATTACTCTGCCACCAAAAAAGCAGGCCTCAGACCCCCTCCATCACCTCCCCAATTTATGAATTAAACAACGAGGCCAGTGCCTGAGGGGTCTGCAGATGAGAGTCAGAAACCAGCAGCCCCCCACCCCACAGAGACAGGTCCCTGCTAACTAGACACAAGAATTGGCCTTCTGGGGTGTCTCTGCGTGTTCTGTGTATGGTGACCTAGCCCCGGCCCTCCAGGAGGGACACTACGTGCAGGACATTTTGGAAAACAGTCTTGGTGTTTCCTCAAAAAGTGAAACACTGTGTTATCATGTGAGCCAGCAATTCTCCTAGGCATATACCTAAGAGTAATGAACATATATGTACACACAAAGACTTGTCCACAAATGGCCATCGAGGAGAAGCTGGCCACAGAGAAGATGGCCCAGAGAGGAGGTGCTGTGTGCAGAAGCAGCTCTGGGAGGAAAGACGTGCACAGGCCAAATTCAGATTACTGACACTTTTTTTTTAATGCAGAGATTGTCTGCAGAATTACCTATTTTTGACTTATCTTGAAAAACTGAGGATCTGGCAACACTGACCCCGAATCTTCCTAACAGCAACAATGATCAGAACTCAGAGGTTTTGTGTCTCACTGATTTTTTTTTCTTTTTCTTTTCTTTTTTTTTTTTTTTTGAGATAGGGTCTGACTTTGTCACCCAGGCTGGAGTGCAGTGGTGCACTCTCAGCTCACTGCAACCTCTACCTCCCAGGCTCAAGCAATTCTCCTGCCTCAGCCTCCCAAGTAGCTGGTTCCACAGGTGCATGCCACCACGTGTAGCTAATTTTTAGATTTTTTTGGTAGAGATGGGGTTTCACCATTTTGCCCGGGCTGGTCTCGAACCCCTGAGCTCAGGTGATCCATCCGCCTCAGACTCCCAAAATGCTGGGATTATAGGCACTTTGCTGCACCTGGCCTTGTCTCACTGATTTCTGATCTTATTTTGTATTATCTTTTTCCTTCTATTTTCTTTGGATCAATGTTGCCTTTTTCTAACTTCTCACACTGGAAATTTATCTCTTTAATTTTTAGACCTTTTTCTTTTCTAATGTAAATTTCCATCCACGTTTTGATATTTAGTGCTTTTATTATCATTGAGTTGTATTTTTGAAGTTCCACTATTATTTCTTCTTTGACCCATGAATTATTTAAAAGTATTTTTTTTAAATTTCCAAATAATGGGGATTTTTGCTTTGGGGGCTATTAATTTCTCTCTCACAGGCATGATGGTCAGGGAACAAGACCTGCTGACACTATTCTTTTAGTTTCTGTGAGATTTGCACTTAATTGACCAGTTGTTACAAGTGTTTCCTATGTGCTTGAGAAAAAGAAATAACCTCTACTTGTCAGATGCAAAATTCATCAATGTCAAGCTTATTATTTGTGTTATTTAGAACTTCCTTATCTGTGCTGGGTTTTTTGTCTACTTGATCCAACACCAATTGGAAAAAAATGGTTGGATTCTCTCAAAAATGATGATAAATTTGTCAATTTCTCTATTTCTAACAAAGTTCACGTCAAATATGTTGAGGTTATTTTATTAAGTGACTCTACCTTTAGAACTGCTTTATCATCTTGGGGAAATGAACCTTTTCTCATTAAACGGTGACCTGTCTTTCCCCAGCAGCGTCTCCTGTCTTGAGGTCTGTTGAGTCTGAGATTGATACAGCAATGTCGGCTTGCCTTTGGCGGCCTGATAGGTCTGTTTCCATACTTTACTTTCCACTTTTTCTTGCCTTTACACTTTACTCTGGTGATAGCGTCCAGCCAGATTTTGAATTTGGGGTTTGTCTCGTTTGTCAGATATGACAGCCTCTGTCTTTGAATTTGTGAGTTTAATCCATTTACATTTACCTGGATTATTGATAAATCTGGGCTTGTTTCTCCCATCTTACTCTATGATCTCAATTTGTCTTGGTTTTTCTGTCCTTTTTTCTCCTTTATAATTTGTCTTATAAAAAAAGACATCCCGGCCGGGCGCAGTGGCTCAGGCCTATAATCCCAGCACTTTGGGAGGCCAAGGTGGGCGGATCCCTTGAGGCCAGGAGTTCGAGACCAGCCTGACCAACAGGGTGACACCCCATCTCTACAAAAAATACAAAAAAATTCGGGGGGTGTGGTGGCACATGCCTGTAATCCCAGCTGCTAGGGAGGCTGAGGCAGGAGAATCACTGGAACCCGAGAGGCAGAGGCTGCAGTGAGCCGAGATCGAGCCACTGCACTCCAGCCTGGGTAACAAAGTGAGACTCCATCTCAAAAAAAAAAAAAGGCATCCCTTTTTCTCTAATTTGTCCTGTCACCACTGTGCTGGCTGCCCCAGCCAGGCTGCAACCCTGGGGACACACATGCCCCTCCAGCAGTGAGTTCAGACCCTTCTCACCCTTTGGCCTCAGGCTCCTCACTTCCTGCCCCCTCTCCTGAGAGGTGACACGCCATGTCCACACCAACTCCAAATCTGATCATCGGCTCCAGTCCAGTCCCTGCACCAGCTGCTCATGGGCCTTTCTCTCTGGGGTGGGGCTGGGAGCTGTGGTTCCTGCTGCTGTGTCCTGCACTACTCCACATTTCCCAGTTCAGAGGTGATCGGAGCCCCCTCTAATATATGCCATCCCAGGGCGGGGCAGCAGGGCACAAGGCCACTTCAGTGTCAACACGGATCTCACTGCAGGAACTAGGAGGGGCCTCCCTTAGGAAGAGGCACTCTGGACTGTTTTAACCACAGTCCCCACTTCTCCCTCCTGTCTCACAGTCCCGAGCTTCATACACACACGCTGCTGCCTATTCTGGAATTATGCAGTATTATTATTTTATATTCATGTCGCTGGGCATATGATGCTCCCATGACAAGGGGCCCTGGAGCTTTTAGATCAATCCTTAGAAGGACTCCAGCCAGACCCCAAAGGCCACATATTATCAATTGGGTTTCTATGAAGTATACAGAATAGGCAAATCCAAAGACACAGGGAGTAGATTAGTGGTCACTATGAGCTGGGAAGGGGAATGGGGAGTGACTGCTCTGGGTGCAGGGTTCCCACTGGGGTGATGAAAACATTTTGGAACTAGATGGTGATGATGGCTGCACAACACTGCCAAAAACCACTGGATTACACACTTTCATACTCATATGTATTATAGTCCATTGATTTTTAAAAGGTCAGAGGAAGCAACTCAAATGCTTGTAGGAGGTCAGAAGAGGCCCAGATGGGTGAAGTCGGGGGGGCGTGCAGATTAAGCCCACAAGAATATTCTCTAAGCTACCAGGTCACACACACACTCCCTCTCACTGTCCCTGAAGCCCATAGCCCCCTCTGCCTGACTCTCCTATCAACTGTTGATGGCGTCAAAGATGCACAGAAATATATTTTGGCTGAAAGAAACACAACAGGGCACAATGAGGAAGGGCTGCCAAGCAGCCTATTAGCAGCATTTGTCATGGTTCATCTGGGAGTCTGCCTTTTCCCCCAGCCAGACTCTTCAGGGACAGAGACCAGATTGTTCATACTCAGTGCCCAGCAGGGCGCTGGCCTGGGGTGCTTGCAGACACTGACTGGATGAATGGATGGATGGATTGGGTGGATGAATGAGTGTGTAGATGAATGGATGATGAATGATGGATGGATGGATGGATGATGGATGAATGAATGGATAAATAATTGGATGGATGGATGGGTAGATAGGGGATGGGTAGATGGATGAGTAAGTAGATGAATGGAGATCAATGATGGATGGATAGATGGATGGATGAATGAGTGGGTAGACGAATGAATACACGATGGATGAATGAATGGATAAATGATTGGATAGATGAATGGATGGACGGATGACAGATGGATAAATGGATGAATGATTGGATAGATGGATGAATGGGTAGACAGAAAGACTCTGATACTGGAAAGTGAATCCTTCACATCCATGGCAAGTGAACCGGGTAACAAAGTCAGAGGCAAGACCATAGCAGCGTCATTTGTCACTGTTGCCATTTATACACATTTTTGGGGCAGAATCGGTCATGCTTGACCACAGGTCATCTCTAGAGGGTGAGGATTGGGGGTCAGGAACTGTGGGGTGGGCTCAGGGCTAGGGCTGCCGATGTGGCCTTTGTGCCTGTGAGCAGACTGCATTTCCATCAGCCTCATCCCCATCTTCCCTCTCTGCCTCCACCAGTGAGTTCAGATCCTTCCTACAATTCAATCTTGGGGTCCCCTCACTTTCTGTCCCATCTCCCAAGACCTGGCTGGGGCCTGACTCAGAATGGGGTCAGCAAAGCCCTGAGGTAGAGCCGTCTCCCAAGATTATGGCCTGGCTGGGGCCCGCCTCACCTCCATTCAAAGGACACCATGTGGAAAACCAATGTGCCCCCAAGCAGGGGTGGCACGGCACAGACACTGATGGCACAGGGGCCACTTCTTGCTCCTTCCTGGTGTCTTCATCCTCGGGGATCAGGGGCTCTGCAGCAGCAGGCAGGGCTGGGCAGCCCTGGAGTGTGTGACACAATTCGGGCACTGTGACCCTACTGGACCCCTTTGCACAGATGCTGCTGGGCCTAGGAACTGGCTGCTCCCCACTGGCTGCTCTGGTAGGCCCTGGGGTCTGCCTACACCCCCAACACATGAGCATGGGCAGGTACCCACCAGTCTCCTTCTCTGTCCCCAGCCTCTCCCGCAGCTTGGCCTTGGTCCACCGTGGACAGCGTCTCTGACACGGTCCTTCTTCCCACAGGGAGACCGGGAGGGTCTTGTTCTGCCCTCAGAGCAGAGGCCCCAGGCTCCTTCAGGTGGGAGCACAGGTGCCTTTCGCACAGGGCCCAGCAGCCAGCTCAGCCCACAGAACAGTAAGCCGCCAGGTCCCAAGTTGTCATCTTGTGACCCGCCCCTGGGGACACGGGTGCCCAACAGGAAAGAGGACGGGGGCTTATTATAAGGAAAATAGTGTCAGGCCTGCCATGGAGCTTTGGGCCTGAGGCCTCAGCTGAGGCCAAGGCAGCAGGACTCATCCAGAGACAGGACAGACCCTGGGCTCCTGGTGCCCAGCTCAGGGAAGCTCCTGGGTGCGGCTCGGTTCACTCCAGCATTTCCTACATGGATGAAGATGTGGATGTGTCTGCTCTGACCATGGGTGTGTGCATGCCTGCGTGTGTGTGAGAGAGAGAGAGGAGAGAGAGACGGAGAGAGTTTATGTACGTGTAACTACCAACCAGAGTCCAGGAGTCTCACACTCCACTGCAAACCAGGCAGGCGGGGCCAGCATGAGTGGGGGGGCCAGGCACGAATCGGCAGGGAGGGAGGGGTTGTGTTCGCCCATCCAGAGGAGGCACAGAGCCTCCCACCCAGTGCTGCTGGCAGGAACACGCCCAGGGTGGCCAGGCCTTCTGAAGGAACTGAAAATTGAGATTTTCATGTGAAACCTCCTGATTTTTAAGTGTACACTCAACATTTCTGAAGCCGTTGTACGAGTCAAATAAAACATTGCGGGGTGGGGCGGCGAGGCCGCCCAAGAGCTGCAGGGCTGAGGCCTGGCTTTAGTCCAGCACCCCGATGTACATACAGACGAGAAGACTGAGGTCAGGCCAGAGCAAGGACTCCGCAGGCCAGGCCCACACTGGCGGCCCCGGCTGCCTGGCCCATCACTGGGGTCACCACAGCCCATGGGGAGCACCAAGGACACCAAGAAAGGGAGGCCCAGGCCTGGTCCCCGGGGTCTCTGTCACCAAGGGCCCACATTGTGAGTTTCAAAGGTGGCCGAGGTGGTTCCTACAGGCCTGTGAGTCCCCACACTCCTTCCCAGTTCAAGGCCTCGGGACAAATCCAAGCCCAGCTTTGTCCTCGTGGTGATGAAGGCCAAGAATGCTGGGAGCTCCCGGGATATTGCCTAGAACAAAGGAGCACAGGCACCTGACGTTCTGGACACAAGGGCAGAACCCTCTTGAGACCATCATCGGCCGTTTGCTCTCCAGGCTGCGGGGGCCTGGAGGACATCCAGGCACGGGTATAGGTGCCGGGAGCCCGGGGAACAGAACCTCAGACCCGGAACTGGGCACCAGATGCACCAGCCGGGGGTCTGTCCGCCCAGCCCGGGGAGTCCAGGGGCTGCTCCGAACCCGGCGCCACGCCTGCTCCCTCAGTGCCGCATCCAACAGCTCTGTCTGCCTGGGCTGGGGCCCTGCGCCCTCCCCGCTGCTGGCTCCCGCTGATGCGCTACAGATGGGCTTCATCGCTGCCTCCAAGAACAACAGGACGACCGCAGGTTTCGCCTCACAGAAACGGAACCGCTGGAAAGGCCTCTCTTGACATTCCCGAAAGGAAAATAAAAATTCCTCTGAAGTACATTTCAACTCCGAGGCAGCCCTGGCCACATCCAAGAAGCTCGGTCCTGAGCGCCGTGGGCTCCAGTGAAGGTCCCCAGCACTGAGGCCGCCTCCTGACCCCCATCCCGGCCACTGCCCCGGGCTGCTCAACCCTTACACGGCTTTCACAAATTTTGAATTAGCTGCCAACAGTTTAAAATGAAGAGATTGTAAGTAAAATCAATTTCCAGCTTCTCTTATAAAATTGGAGGCCCTCCTGCTGCTGGCCGACCCCGTGTCTACCTGGGCCCAGTGATCTCTGCTGGCGTCACCTGCCAGGCCCCCATCAGTGTGCCCATACGAGACCACTGTCCTCAGCGAACGCCTGACCCCCAGGCTCCAGGCAAGGTTGAGAGGACAGATGCTCTCATCCTGGGGGCTCTGGCCTTCCTGGGGCCAGTGTTATCCAGCTCTGCCCTCCAGAGCCCTCTGCACACGCTGGGGCTGGGACTGCCCATGGCTGTGGGCTCTGATTTGGGTGGGCAGACCTGAGCAGGCCATCATGCTTCTTATTCCCAGCCTGACCCCCCCAGACCGCCCCCCGCCAACCCAGACAATGTGTACTGAACTCCTCGTCAACTTGACCCCTGAGCTCCTCCCCGCAGCCCACCAGGTGCTCCTGCTGTGGTTTGGGCAGCACCTAGTCCTTTTTGCCCTGCTGGACGTCGCCTGGCCAGACTTGCAGAGCCATCTCAGCCCTTTGTTCTCCTGACTCCATCCCTCCAAGCCTGGCCACCCCAGCCTCGGCCCCAGCTCCTGCCACGTGAATTGTCAAAGGCAGAGCATGAGGAGGCTGAAGGCAGCCCCCATGGCACACCCCACGGAGTCCCTGCAGTCGTCCAAAAAAGGCTCAAGCCTGGGCAGCATTGCTCGCAGCTAGGAATCTGCAGCTGGACTCAAATATGTGTCCAGAATGATCTGGGAAAGGTCCTTGAGAAAAGGGCCAGACACAGGGACCTTCCCAGGCCCGGATCCCACAGAGGAAATGATTCTAGCGAGCGCCACCTCGACAGGTCTGAGGTCCAGACAGGGGTGGAGCTGTCACAGGCAGCCGGGTGGGGCTGTGATCTGGGTCCTCCCAGCCTCACGGTGATTTGGAATGGGAATACGGTTCTGCCAGGCAAGGAGTATCCCCCTCTGACCAACCTGTGGACTGCCTACCAGGACTCCCAACACCCTTCCTGCACGATGGCGCTGAGGGGCTGATCCGGCCGCTGCTCTCATTCCCATGGCCACCTGATCCAGGCCGCAGTCTCTCCCTGCACACAGGACAGCAGCCTCCTGCCGGCTCCCTGCCTCTTCCGTGCTCACCCTCCTCGGAAACCAGACCATGCCACCTGCTGCATGGCACAGCCCCTCCTCCACGACGGAGCCCACAGAAGCCATCGTGATCTGACCTCCAGTCCCCTCAGGCCCTCACCCTGCCCCTCCTGCCACACCCCCAAACAAGCCCCGTCCTCACCCCTCAGGTACTTCGCATCTGCTGCCCTGGCCCCTTTTCCTCCTGGGGAACTGCAACCCACACTCCAGGCCTCAGCCCAACGTCCAGTGACTGCGGGCTCACTCTGTGGCACTTCCCAAGTCTTTCATTGTGCAGGTATTTGTGGACTGACTAGTGCACTGTGGGCTGTATGAGGTCAGGGCTGTGCCTGTCTGGTCCCAGAGCCTGGCCCAGTGCCCGGTCCTGCTGTGCGTGCCGGGTAAAGATCTGTTGGATGAATCAAGGGAGAGAGGAAGGGGAGCAGCCCTGGGATTCCACAGGTGCTTTATGTCCAGAGACAACCGCGCAGGGAACAGTGGCCAAGGCACGCTGGGAGCAGTGCTCCAGCCCGACGGCATCCCCAGGGCAGAGGCTGGGATTCACGCATTGCTGCCCTCAGGCACCAAACAGGCCTGTGGCAGTCACAGGGGCACATTCCTGATACCGGGTCTGTCGTTCCAGCATGGACAGGGCCATCTTCCTCGCCATCTGCAGTCTGGCATCAGACATTCCCAAATAAAGGACAGACAGTTAACTGTCAGAAAGTGCTGGTGCTTGGGCCTGGAAGGAAGGGAGCCCGTGTCTACTGGGCACCCCCAATTTTGGCCACTGTGCAGTGCCCTGTGTCCTCAACCTCGGGGCCTGGACCACAGCTCCATGAGACCACAGGGAGGAAGCAGAGTCACAGAAGAAAGAGTGATGAACAGCACTGGCCACTTGATTTGCAGGGCACAGTGCAAAATGGAAACGCACAGTCCCTTGTTCAAAAAGTGATTACGACTTCTAAGGCAGGAATGACAGAGTGTTAAAGTGGGCATAGGGCCCTGCCGGATGGGTCACAAGCCGGCGAAGTCAGTCCTGCTCAAGTGTGAGGAAGTGGGACTAGCAAAGGCCCAGGGCCACCCAATGTCCCATGGGCCCATGGGACCAGTAGCCACCCACAGCTGCCAACCTGAGTCTGCAGCCCTGACACTGTGGCAACAACAGGAGGCGTCAGTGCCAAGCCCTCCAATGCCTGCAGGGAGCAACTGTTGCTCCCGGAGTGAGCTCCTGGGCGACCGGGCTTCCTAGGCACTATGCTTATTCTTTCTTTTCACGGATATTTACGCACCAACCGTGTGCCAGGCATTCCTCAAAATGCTGCAAATTCCACTGTAAGCAAAAGATTCTCCCCGAAGCTAACGTGCTAAGTGACCTGGAGACACATCCTCACTCACCCTCGCTGGGCCCCAGTTTCTGCAGCCGTTAAGTGGAGTTCCAGGCCTTGGTGCTTGGAAGGCCCTCTGTCCAACAAACAGATGGGGTCACAGGCTACCGGGTTTTGCCAGCCCAGGCTCTGAGCGGGGACAGGAGGGCACTGCACTGGGTGTCAGCAGCCCTGGGTTCTAAGCCTGCTCCTCCCTCCTGATGCAGGAGTCAAAAGGCCTGGCTCCCACTGTTTCTACAGCTTACTATCTGTGCGACCGTCGGCACCTCAGTTTCCTCATCTGTAACGTGGGCACAGCAAAAGCACCAACCCACCGTGGGGCTCATTACAAGAATCCTAGGAGATGATGTACCTGCAGCGTGCTGGCAGACGCGGTCAACGGTAAGTGCTCCAGGAACGCGTCACGTTCTTCTTGCTCCCTGCTGTTCCCGCTACTGCTTGGACAGTGGTAGCCCTGCACCTTAGTTTTCTCTCTGCTTCCAGGACTACCGTGCCTATTAAATGACACCATGAAGAGTGCCCACCTTCGCGCAGGCCCTCGGTGAATGGGCATGTCCTTGAACGCAAACTTGGCTCCAACGGGGCAGGAGAAGGATCATTCAGACTCAGCTACAGAAAAACAGACTTTTGTGCAACTAACGCTAACAAAACTGGAAAGGAAAGAGGAACTACGGCCTGGGGAAAAGCTTGTATCGAACATGACAGAAAGTCAATATCTAAAAAGAGATAAAGGGCTTATCCCAATATATAAGACCCCAGGAGATAAACAGGCAAAGGACTTAGGAATAGGAGACATGCAGAGTAATCAAACCCAGGGAAGATCACTCATCCTCGCCAGTAACCAAAGAAGCGCAAATTAGCGCAAAAAGCAACGCCGCTTTGCTGCCGGAGCAGCAAAATATTAAACACTAAAGCCCCCGTGCTGGTGAGGATTTGGAGAAACCAGGAGCTGCTGTGGGAGCCAGTCTGGCTCTGCCCCGAGTGGTGAGTCTGTTAAGCGCTGGGATTTCCTAATTCATTTAGTCACTCAGTAGGTGCCCCCTGATGGCTGCTCAGGGCCAGGGCTCGAGCGCGTCTGGGCTGGCTCAGGCCGCCATCTGCCGGGTCAGCAACAGATACCTATTTGCAGGAACAGAACCTGAGGTCAGCTCCCAGGATGTCCCCACCCCTGAGTTTCAAGAGAGTTTGCACCAGGAGCAGGGAGCATTCCAGCTGTCTCGGGCAGCTTTTGTGTGGGGAACAGCTGGTAGCGCTGCCTGCGGCCCCTTGGGGTGGACAGGAAGGCTCTGCCTGCAAAGGCCTAGAGGCAGCCACACACCCTGCCCTGCACACTCCTAAGTACGTGCAGGCCACAGTTCCTGCATCCATTCATCCCGGCCAGTCTGGGGTCCCTCCCCACAGTGGCAGGCAAGGGGAAGCTGGACCGGTCCTGCTAGACAAACAAGGATGCACACACGTCCATGGGACCCCAAACCTCACACTGTCCCTGACAGCCCGCCCCACAGAGCACAGCCTCTGCCTCCCGGAGCAAGAGGAGGTGGCAGTGCATCCCAGGGCCTGGCTGCCTGTGGGGCTGCATTGGGGGCTCCTGCCCCCGCCCCGTGAGTCTGGGAACACATGGGTCTTGGCCTTGGCACCTTCTTTCCTGGGAAAACACCTCCCTCTGGGCCAGGGCAGTGCAGAGCAGTGGAAGCGGGCAGCTGTGGAGTCAGAGTGATGGGTGCCAATTCTGACTCCTGCACGTGGCCCAGACCACCTAACCTGCCACCCCCACCAGCACACCTGCCCGGCCACCCCCACCAGCACACCTGCCCGGCCAGCCTCAGGCCACCAGCCAGCCTCCCAGCCACGTGACCTCTCAGGGGCAGGATGTGTCCTTGATTCCTTCCTTCACACCACGTCCCGGAAGCTCCACCTCAAACTCATCCTGAACCCACTGCCTCCACCGCCATCTGTCACCGGGACTCCTCCCTGCTTCCACACCGTCCACCGAAAACCCTCCAAAGGCCTCCACCGCACAGGGAATGAATTCTCACCCCGTACCGTGACCGTCCCTTCAAAGCGATGAGTGCCACCCATCCCTCCCGGCCCTGCACGCCTCCCACTCCCCCATTACGTCCTCAGTTCCAGGTACTAGCTCTTCCTTCTGCCCCTTGGTCACGCTGCGGTAACTCCAGCCTCAGGGCTCCTGCATGTGCTGTTCCCTCTGCCTGGAACACCCTTCCCAGGGCTGGGCTTTCCCATCATCACCAACCTGGGGCGCCTCCCTCCCTTACCTGCCTTCTCACGCTGCCCTTTCACCCCGTTTTACTTTGTTCACAGGATTCTCCACTGTCTGCGAGCATCTGCTCACCAGGTCTCCCCTGCGGGGCTGTGAGCCCAGAGAACAGGGACTCGATCGGGTTCCTCCGCTGCTACAGCCCCAGCACCCAGTCCTGTCAGACACATGGTGGACACATAGCAAGAACGTGACGAGTGAATGCAGGAAAATACACTTGTGGCAGCAGGCAAGGTGCCCTCTCTGAGCCTCAGTCTCCCCCTAAGCAGTAGAGCTGCTAATGCTATTATTCCCCCATGATTTGGGGAGCAGTATTATTCCCCCATGATTTGGGGAGCAGTATTATTCCCCCATGATTTGGGGAGCAGCATTATTCCCCCATGATTTGGGGAGCAGCATTATTCCCCCATGATTTGGGGAGCAGCATTATTCCCCCATGATTTGGGGAGCAGCATTATTCCCCCATGATTTGGGGAGCAGCATTATTCCCCCATGATTTGGGGAGCAGCATTATTCCCCCATGATTTGGGGAGCAGCATTATTCCCCCATGATTTGGGGAGCAGCATTATTCCCCCATGATTTGGGGAGCAGCATTATTCCCCCATGATTTGGGGAGCAGTATTATTCCCCCATGATTTGGGGAGCAGCATTATTCCCCCATGATTTGGGGAGCAGCATTATTCCCCCATGATTTGGGGAGCAGCATTATTATTGAGCATTAATGAACCCGCATGGCATTCAGGTGCCCGGCCTTTTCCCAACCAGACCAGCGCACCAGCCACCTCTCCACACAGGCCCAGTGCCCAGGTCACCTCCTGTCCTGTCCTGCAGGCTCTCTCTGGGTGTGCCGACAGTTTGGGATGGGAGGCGTGGGAGGCGTGAGCTGCGCTCCTGGCCGGGTTCTCTACCAGCTGTGCTCGTGGCGCAGCCCACACCTCACGGCAAGCCCCAGCCAAAGGGACCAAGTCAAGAGCTCTGAGAGACATCCCAGCCGAAGAATCCAGCCCTTGTCCCAAACGTGTGTGTGCACAGGCACACGAAAGAAGGTGAGACAGAAGGAGAGAAAAATGAAGCCAGAGAGCAGGAGAGAGAGAAGACAGACGCCAGCACGCCCATCTGACTGCGCGACCTTTCCCCGCTCAGAGCTCCTTCAGGGCCCAGAGCACAGCGCTGCCTAGGATTAATTTCAAAGAGAAACGGGTCAAAGAAAATTGGAAATTTTTATAGAAAATATTTCAGGCTTGGAGCTGGCTGAAGTGTCTGCCAACCTGCAGAGAATTCTGAGAGGAGATGGGGCCTGTGGTCAGAGGCCTCCGGCTGGCACAAACTGGCAGAGTTTGGACCTCGGACCCAAATGCAGTTTCTGAGCCAGGCCTGTCCTCGCTGCTGCTGGGGAAGAGCTTCCTGTCCCCTTCAGATGTCCCTACAGCTGCCTCTGCAGCCCTGATGCTGGTACCCAACGCCTCTCACCTGTCGCCCCACCCCTCTCTATCCCCAAGAGGCCTCTGTCTAGGGACCCACTATGGGATGCAGTCCCTTTGTCCCCATTATGCAGGGTGCCCATGTCTCTTTCACCGTCATCCATGGGGCAGCCAGGGCATGAAGGAAGCCTCACCTGGGTCCCAAGCAGGTCCCACTGCTCCTTGCCCAAACTTCACCCCAGCCAGCAGGCTCCTACATCCAAGGCACAGATGTCACAGACATGAAAAGATGCCCTGGACACATGCCTCTCTCCCAGAAGCCTGCCTCTGCCATGCTGGGGACCTGAAAAGAGGGGGCATGCCCAGCCCACAGTTGCTGATCAAACGCCAGATGCCCCCGTGAGCAGATCACAGCTTCACCCCTGAGCCGTGTACTGTCTGCATGCCAGGGACTGTTACCTTGTGCAAAACCCGAAAAGCTCTTTGGAGGACATTCCCAACACAGATCCAAGGGAAGGAAAGAAAGTATCAATTCACTGTGTCTGTGGAAGATGGCGAGGCAGAGGAGGGAAAGGGGACGGAGAGCAAGTGTCGCAGTGAGCACTGGGCAGGCGCCCTGTGCCCTGCGTAATTCCAGCAGCCCCTGTGCCACTGCACCCAGGTACAGTGGAGATCTCAGCACCCAGGTTCTGAGATCCTGAGGGGCTGGGTGAGCTGCTCTGGGCCCCTTAGTGAGCCAGAACAACAGCATGTCGGGTGGAGCTGAGCACACTGACCCCTGCACCAACAGCAGCATGCTGGGCGGAGCTGAGCGCGCTGACCCCTGCACCAGCGCTGACCCCTGCACCAACAGCAGCATGCCGGGCGGGGCTGAGCACACTGACCCCTGCACCAACAGCAGCATGCCGGGTGGGGCTGAGCACACTGAACCCTGCACCAAACTGCCCGCTGCCCACCCCACTCACCCACCTAGTGCTGGAAGCATCTGTGGGAGCAGCCCTAATGCAGCTCCTCAGAACCACTGGCCGGTCTTCCAGAACTGTCCCCTGCACTCGAGTTGGGGCTGCAGCCAAGCCAGGGCCAAGGCCACCATCCTCCGGGTCAGGCTTGTCACCTGCCCACGGTGCTCCACCAAAGATCCAGGCCCTTGCCAGCCACATTTACCTGGTCGGCTCCACCCCTGAACCAGAAACCATGTCGGGAGGGGAGAGGTGGCGGGGGAAGGGCAAGCCTGAGACTCAGGGACTAAATTTATGTCGGAGGCACAGGGGAGTTGCTGCGCACGTGGGGGCTGTCAGGCGGAGTGCCAGGCCCAGACGCCGTGGAGGGGGAGCACACCCTGGCACGTCTCCACTGTGGAATAAGGGGGGCCCAGCCCTCGCTGGGGCTGCAAGCCTCGCTTCTGCCTTCACAGCCCAGGGGGTGGGAAGCACCCACAGGGCAGCGCTCTGAGCAGCAGACTCCAGCCAGAGAGCCAGCCAGGCCCGGGAGCTGGCCCCTCCTGCTCTCCCCGGCTGACCCCAGGCAACTCCAGCCTCGGAGAATGTGCAGCCTCGGCTTTCCCAGCGCCGGCCCCCGCCCACCCCTTCCGCGTGGGCCACATCACCGCGCTGGCATCTCCAACAGCCATCCCAAGGGCCCGGTCTGCACGAGGACAGGAGCGCCGCGGCGTCTGCCAAGGGTGCGCTCAGCCCTGAAGCACGCCTCCCGGAGCCGCCTCGGGTTTCACAATCAGTGCTTCTCCCTGGGTTTCCCGGGGCCTGGGCTGCAGGCTCAGCTCCAGGGTGGAAAGAGAGGATGAGCTGAGAAGACTCCAGGGATCCAGCGCCGAGGCGCTGAACTCAGTGAGTCGGCAACAGTGGCTTGGCAGGGCCCAGGCTGACCAGGGTATGAGAGAGAGCACCTATCACCACGCCAGAGGCCCTGGCCTCAGGGGTCTGGGGAGTCACTTGGGAAGTGCCCGGTTGGAGACACAGAGACAGGTCTGGGCACAAGACGCTGGCCAGGTCCAGGGCTCACCCTGCAAATCCAGCCAAAGCCCTCTCTCCATTCTCCCTTAGGACCCAAGGTTCAACACTTAGACATGTCAGCTGAATCATGACCCCCGGACGTCCATGTCCTAATCCCCCAAAACTCGTGAGCATTACCTTATATGGCAGAAGAGACTTTGCAAATGTGTTTAAATCAGGGGTCTTGAGATGGGGAAAGTAACCTGGATGGTCCCAGCGGGCCCTAAATGTTATCACAAGTGTCCTTCTAAGAGGGAGAGCTGGCTATAGAAGAGGAGAAGCCACGTGACCAGGGAGGCAGAGACTGCAGCAATGTTGCCACAAGCCAAGGAACGCCAACAGCCCCCAGGAGCTGGGAGGGGCCAGGAATGGATTCTGCCCTGGGGCCTCCCGAAGGAACCAGCCCTGCCAGCACCTTGATCTTAGCCCCTAAAATCCTATTTCAGAGTTCTGAGCTCCCGAACTGTGAGGAATGCAGGTGTGCTGTTTTAAGCCATTAAGGTGTGGGTAACCTGGTACAGCAGCCACAGGAAGCTGAGATGGACGTCGACAGCTACAGGGCAGAAAGGCTCTCTGACCTGGCATTCAGCAAATTGGCACCCCCCAACAAAGCACACGGCCCTCCTGCCCCATCCTGGGCCCCCCAGCCCCCACCTGGGCCAAGCCTCACATCCGCTGTGTCAGTGGGGCTGGCTATCTGCTCGCCACTGAATGGATGAGTCTCGCCTGCTCCCCAGTCCTGTGGTCTGACAGAACAGAGCTCCTCTCTCTCTCCTGTGCCATTGCTCCAGCCTCCCCCACCAGCCTCCCTCACACTGCAACCAGTACGAGCTTGCTGAAACACTCAACTCTTTGTGAGACTGGAGGGCGCCATCCCCACCTTGGGTCATTCAAGGCTGCTGCTTCCATGGAGGCTGCCCCACAGCTCTCTGCCTCCAGCCCTGGGCTCTGCACACCCAGGGGGAACTGTCATGCCTGAGGTCCGCCCCCACCCCCGCCGCCCACTCTTCCCCCAGGATCCCCTGCGGCCTGGAAAACTCCTACCCAACTCAAGGCAAAGTCACAGGGTGGAGACTGTGGGTCAGGAGGGGCTCTTCCTGGCCTGGTGGGGAAGGGCTGGCTGTGGGCTGCAGGTGGCAGCCACGCTCAGCCACATGGAGGAGCTGCCCAGTGCCGGCGCTTGTCCTCTGTCTCCTGGAGGGCCTTCCTTGGTGCAGCGAGGCTGAGAGGCTCCCGTGGTGGCGTGCCTCGTCTGCCCGTCAGGGAGGATGCTGCAGCCTGACAGCAGCAGGCAGAGGCTTGGCACCGGCGGTGTCTGGGGTGGAGGCAGCCAAGGTCACTGGCACGTTGCTGTCTGACTTCTCTTCCTTCAGCCCAGCAGGGTGTGTGCACAGCAGCCTGGTAGCAGTTCCCCAGGATGGGAAGCACCTGCCCCTCCTCTGTCCCAAGGCCAGGCCGGGGCGAGCCCCAGGAGAGCAGCCCACAGAGGAGGGCAGAAGATGCTTCTACCTCTGCATCACAGAAAGCATGGGTAGCCAATGGGGGACCGTGTTTTGTTTGGTCTATATAGTGAGCACGGGAGGGGACCCCAGGCATGACAGCTCCCACTGGGTGTGCAGGGCCCAGGGCTGGAGGCAGAGAGCTGATGTGGAGGCTTCTGTGGAAAGAGGGCTTTGTCTGGATTTGCTGGCTGAGCCCTGGACCTGGCCAGCGTCCTTGTGCCAGGACCTGTCTCTGTGTCTCCAACCAGGCACTTCCTGAGTGACTCCCCAGACCCCTGAGGCCTGGTCCTTTCGCATGGTGATAGGGGCTGTCTCTCGTACCCGGGTCGGCCTGGGCCCTGCCAAGCCAGCTGTTGCCGACTCACTGAGCTCAGCGCCGTGGCTGGATTCCTGGAGCCTTCTCAGTTCATCCTCTCATTCCAGAAATTTTAAGCCACATTTTAACATCAGGAAAGTTCACATAAAAAGTCTGATGTCTGGATTTTCTTGATAGGATGTTCAGCTGCACCAGACCCAACTTCTACCAAATTGAGGTCAAGGGAGTTGAGGAGGGTCTGTCCCTCCTTGCAGGGCCTCCCAGACGCCCTGTGCCCATGGCAAGGCCAGGGCTGGACACCACGTGTGGCTGCATTCCCACTGCTGTTTCTTTTTAGTGGAGATGTATTCTTGGTCTCCACGTTTCCATCAAAAGGAGAGAAATGAAAGCCAGGCCAAGGGTGGGTGCAATTATCTTTTTTTCCTCCACTGCTGTCCTTGTTGGCATTGCCTGCCAGGCCCTGCAGGCTCTGAGTTTGCAGCTCTTGTCTTTCTGCAAATGGCACTGTGTGTCTGAAACAGAGACCACATGCTCAACACGTGACTCGGGGTCTTTCTCACTGTGTGGCAACCTTCACAGAGTCCCAAGGTCAGTCTCTGGGAAGCTAAGACAGGCCCTCAGTGTCAGCACAGGGTTGGCTTCTCTGTGCACGTGGTCTTGGAGTCAGCCGCTCCAGGTCCCTTAACGCGGGCGGTGGGGGAGGACTGCCAGGCTGAGACTGGCACTTAGACATGCAGGGAAGAGCTCCCACACGACAGGGTGGAGGGTCCAGTGAGGGAGGCAGCAGGACCAGGGCCTGCCTGGGCTGTGCCTCTGGGCTATATGCCCTGGGGAGGCCTAAGTGAAGCCTACAGTGCTGCTCCTCCGCGTGACCCAGACGGGCGCCTCCCGGGTGTGCTGTGCACTGCGTGGCCAGCCTTGTACGTGAGGGCCATTCACATCCTGTAGCTGGCTGCATGGTGCCCCCAAAGATGCTGGATCCTGATCCCTGCAACCTGAGACGGGTACCTTCTATGGGAAGAAAGGGCTTTGCAGATGTGCTTGCAGTAAGGCTCTTGAGATGAGAAGCCTGTCCTGGATTACTCGGGTGAGTCCTAAATGTAATCAAGGCATCCTTGCAAGAGGGAAGCACAGGGACACGTCAGAAGAGGAGGGGGCGACATGACCCGGGGGCAGAGATTGGCATGATGCAGCCACAAGCCAAGGGAGGCTGGCAGCCCCCAGGAGCGGGGATGGGCCAGAAACAGATTCTCCCCTGGAGCCTCTGGAGGGAGCACAGCCCTGTCCACCCTTGATCTTGGCTCAGTGAGATTCATTTCAGACTTCTGGCCCACAGAGCTGTGAGAGAGGCATTTGTATTAGTCCGTTTTCACAATGCTGATAAAGACATACCCGAGACTGGGCAACTTACAAAAGAAAGAGGTTTATTGGACTTACAGTTCCACATGGCTGGGGAGGCCTCACAATCATGGCAGAAGATGAAAGGCACGTCTCACATGGCAGCAGCCGAGAGAGAGAGAGCTTGTGCAGGGCAACTCCCGTTTTTAAAACCCTCAGATCTCGTGAGACCCACTCACCATCATGAGAACAGCATGGGAAAGACCCACCCCCATGATTCAATCATCTCTCACTGGGTCCCTCCCATAACACATGGGAATTATGGGAGCTACAAGATGAGATTCAGGTGGAGACACAGAGACAAACCATATCAATGTTCCTATTGTTTCAAGCTCCGTGAGGACTCCCTCCTCAACAGTCCCACACAGGATGAGATGCACACACACCAGAGAGGACAATGCCACAGGGTGCCCTGTCCCTGTACCCCAGCACAGTGTCCCTGGACACAGAGCTGGCCTTGGGAAGGGCAGAGAACAGGGATTGGAGATGCCTGTCAGAATGCCTGGGGGGACACCTCAACCACTGCTCCCCAAAAGGCCACCCAGCCTCAGAGCTCGGCCTCCGGTCCTGGCCAGGTTCCCAGGCCAGCAGCACTGAGCAGGACCCTTCTGCCAAGGCCAGCATGGCCAGGGAGGAGAGAAAAGGACCCTCCCCGCTCCCTCACCCCTTGCCCCTCCTAATAACATCCTCTCCCGGGTGTTGCCTAAGCTGCCCAGTGCACACACTCATCCCTGGCCTGTCTGTGAAATGCTTTAAAACCGTCATTTTCTATCCGTTTCCCCCAGGCAATCTGCAATCCAGCAACTGATCTTGGATGACAGAGACTATTAGTGAAAATGATTCCCTGAGGCTCCATGAGTCCCCGAGATCACCCTGAGCAGCCCGTGGGCTTCTCGGGGAAAACAGGACATCCTGAAAAGGAGGCACCCCTGACGCTGCAGGGATATCCTGCCACCCAGACAGATGCCCATCCCCCACTGGGACACCCAGGGCAGGTGTGTCACCTTCCCCGGCAGAACATAAATAGCAGGGTGCTTCACACCCACTTCCAGACGTTGCTTTTGGGGAGGCAGGAAGAAACTGCCAGCCAGCACCTCCTGCCAGCTTCTGCCAGGGCCACACTGATATATCAGGGTTCCCTCAGAATTCACTGGAAGAAAGGGTCCCCTATACACACACACACATACACACACACCCGCACCCAGGTCCTGGAGTTGTGTGCCAGGCAGGCTGTGCCCCTCACTATGCCTGGCCACAGGACACAGCTTTTATGTATCTCCCAGTTGCCACTCTGGGCCCTGAAAAGGCCCAGGCAGATGGAAAGCTGGACGCCTGAGGTCACCGTGGGCCCTCCACCCAGCTCCGGCACTCACTGGGCCTGGTGCCCTTCCAGTCAGTGTGTCGATCTCAGCCCAGGGCCACGTGGGAACGATTAGGTGCATGGCGTGGGAGCTAGCTCACTGAAGGCCCGAGCCCCTCATGCAGGGTCTGCTGACACCAGACAGGAACATCAAGCAAAGGGGACTTGGCCCCAGCCCCAAGTTCTGGGATCCAGACCTATAGCCCCAGGCCCACGCTCACATCCACAGCCTGGGCCCCAGGCCTGGAGCTAAGGCTGGACAGGCTCACCTCCTCCCCGACAGCCCATTACCAAACCCCCACCTTCCAGCCCAGCCTCACCCCTGACCTGGCAGCTGGCCTCACCCAGCGTCTTCTAAGGCCAATGGTTTCTGGGCTTATTCTGAGATTGAAATTCCTTTCCTGTGTTCTGAATTTCAAGTTCTCATTAAAGATATGTGGATTGGGGGTGGGGGTGGAGGGAGGATTCAGCAGAAGATGCCAAACACCAGCAGAAGCCCAGAAAATAAGGCAAGGCCGGCCAGGCTGTGGGGGAAGGGCTGCCATGTTCAGGAAGACAAGCACCATATGGAATCTGGGATCAGAGACATGGCCAAGGGCACGTGGCCAGCTCACCTCGCCTGAGCAGAGGCCCCCAGAACCACCCTGAATCTTCCAGGAGAGGCCAGCCAGAAGCACCAAGCCCACAGCACAAGTGACCAGCCCCTGAGCTCTCGGGGACACAGGGGTTGCTAATGCCACTGGGCTTGCCCGACAGCAGCTAGCTAGCAAGGAGCAAAGCTGGGGCCCTGCCCCCGGGTCTGGAGCACTCGCTCAGCCCCTTCCACGCTGGCCCTCCTAGATTACTCCTCCTTCCTTCCCTGCAAAATAGTCCAAGGGTGGGGATAAGTCGAGGCTGAGACCACAGCTGGAAAAGGCTGGGCAGGCAGTACCCAGTGGCCCGGCTGTCTGCAGCATAGCAGACGCTGATTTGTCACCAAGGAACAAGGGGCCACCGGTTGCACTGATTGGCTCCAGAGTACATTGGGCTTCCTGATGGAACAATTCCTTTGCAAAGGTATCTGATGCCGTTTCATGAAATTAGAAGTATGCCTGCCAGGCTGTACCCAATTTTTCTGTCAAGCTAGGAAGTCAGACAGACCTACAGTAAATGAGGCGGGGCTGCTATGGAGTGACGGGAGTACCTTAGTAAATCACAGCACGGGGGCTGGCCCAGCCCAGGCCCCTGGAGCACTCGCTGTGAACGTGCAGGTGTGCCCGATCCTGGGCCCCAGACTCCAGACTCTCCTCACCCAGGGGTCCTGACCAGAGGCTGAGGGCTGAGCTCGCAGCTTCCCACTCTCCCAGCAAGAGCCAAGCACAGGCCAGGAGTCCCTGACCACACGGGGGACCCTGAGAACTATGGGCCTGCAGAACCACATCAGACACCAACCCTGGCTTCACCACAATCCAGGACCAGAGACTGGGGGATGCTGGGAGGTGTGGGCTGGCACAGTGAGGCCAGATCTGAGGCGACAGTCATGGACTGTCACCATGGCCGCCTGGCAGCTCCTTTCACGTTTCTGGGCCCAGGGCACACGTGGGTTCTGAGTTGAAAAAGACAGACGCCCATGAGTCTGTGCAGAGACTGCTGAGGCTGCTGGGAGCACCTCCAGAGTCCTTGTAGGGCACATGCCTCCAGGGATCCAGAAAGAGCATGCAGGGCCTTTCTCCCTGAGCAGCCAGGTGAGGGTTGGGACCTACCACAGGCACCCTCCCAGGGACCATGGCAGCACAGAGCAGGAGAGGCGCTGTCTGGGGCTCTGGAGGCCTCTTCACAGGCACAGACTCAGAGACGCAGGCACTGGACTCAGGCCTGGCCGGGGGCCCCCGCCCCGCTCCACGACACTTGCTTGCCTTTAGGCAACAGAAGATGGGCCCTTGGACAGCCTTCATAGTCCACCATGGAGGCCCCAGACATGAAGGCAGAGGTGTCTGGGCTGCTTGTCACCCACATGCACCCAGAACAGAGGCCCCAGCCCCAGCAGCCCTGCTACGCCCTGCCGTCAGCCAGGCAGCTGGCCCATTTCTGAGCCACTGAGACCGGGGCTCAGCCTCAGCAGCCAAGCTGGTCTGTGGAGAGCTGCCTGAGTCTCTGGGATGCTCCCCTGGGGACCAGGGCCTCAGAGGGCTCTCCACACAGCCTGCCCACCTGCAGTAGCCTCACCTGTGTCCAGGGCCTGTGGCCCCCCGAGAGGAGGGGACGTGGGTGGCCGGCGATACACCACATGCACACGGCCTTGCTCAGCCTCCTGCGCCGCCAGCCCCTTCTCCAAGGGTTCGATGAAGAACTCCTCCTCCTCCATCCGGATCAGACCAGCCTGCGGGACAAAGACAACAGGATCAGATTTCCAGCACACAAAAGACCAAGGAAGGGGAACAGCGAGGAGACCCCCTCAGGGAGTACCTCCCACCTGAAGACCCTGCCCAGCACCCCAGCTGGTGCTCAGCTTGAACCCTGGGCTGGCCGGAGGGTATGAACATGTGGTCCCAGAGGCCGCCCCCCGCCGCCCACCCTGTCTAGGAAAGGGGCCTCTGTCTGGGTCATCTCCACCCCTATACACCAACCCTGTCTGCTTTCAGAAAAGTTACTGTGTTTATAAAGTCAAAACCGTCCAGAGAAGCAGGGAGACATTCAAGGGCAGCTGTGGGCCTGTGCGTGTCCCCAGGAGGGCATCCACCAAAGTGCATCAATATGGGCCAAGTGCTGCCCCCACTCCCAGGAGCCCAGAGTCCAAGACAAAGGTCAAAACAGCCAGCCGGGGATTGAATCTGCCCACACACATGTTCCATCTGGGCCAAACAATATTTTTAAAGCTCTGAAGCTAACACTCAGAATGATGAGATTTCATGTCTTGAACATGGAATCCCAGCTTTCCTTGGAAACGCAGGCCCTGACCACAGCGGGTCTTGGATGGAACACATGCCCCTGCAACTGGCTCCAGTCCCTACTGCCCCCCAACTGTCTCTCCTGCTCTCTGTGTCAGCCACCAGCCCAGACTCTACAGGCAGCTGAACTGCTGCCCCTGACCCCCTAGGCCAGCCAGCACCCTCCCTGACTACAAACTCCTCGCTGGGTCCTCATTTCCGTTGGGACTCAGGCTGCTCTATATGCTGGCATTCAGGCTCTTGGCCTGCCCCACCCTCCCAGACCGCGGCTTGCACCACCCCATGCTTCTCACTGGGCTGGGTGCACCCTGCCGAGCCACCCAGCCCCTGAACCCCATGCTGCCAACTCAGGAATCCCCATTCTCCCACCCCACCACCCCATCCCCAGCTCGGCCATCTGGTAAACCTGTGTTCCCCCTTCGAGGCCTGATTCAGACCCCCTCACCTCTCCTGCCCTCCCCTGCCATCCAGCCTGCCCTCCCCTGCCATACCCTGCCCTCCCCTGCCATACCCTGCCATCCAGCCTGCTGGCACCATCAGGTCCACCCATCCCATGACAACTCCAGCTCCTACACTTTTATCTTCTGGTCCATTATCCATAAACCAAGGTCTCACACTGGAAGTGCACACTGTGTCCAGCCTTCAGAGTGTTTCCTTCAGATCACAAGCTTATGACCCATGCAGGGGATTTTAAAAGCTTGAATTTGTTGCCAAACTTAAGAAACAGGAGAGTTCACATAAACGACCAGATTTCCAGACTCTCTTGAAAATCAGAAAAGCTGGCATTTCCAGCACCCATCGACACTCCAGCTTAGCTGGCGCTGGCCGGGGTCCCCTGTCCAGTTAGGAGTGTGCCCTCTGGTGGGCAGCCCCCGGCACCTGCCATCTGGATGTGCGGAAACCACACCCCCCCCAAAGTAACCTCATGATGGCCTCTGCCATATCATCATCTTGGTTGTGGGGGGGCACGGTGGCGCACGGGCTGCCCCTCCTTCTCCCTGACCCCAGGTGCTCGGTGAGCCCCATCCTGTTGCTGGCTGGGAGCCTCTGCAGACCGAGATGCAGTCAGTGCCCCCCAGGGCCTGCTGGGCGGCTGCCCCTAGCCTCAAGTGTAGCGAGGGAGGCTGGAGATGCCTCCCGGCGCACTCAGCCTGGGCCCTCGGGAAGCTGATGTGCCAGGCAGGGGCTGGTGGAGGTGCAGGGCCTGGAGGAACACAGAGCCCAGCATCAGGCCTGGCTCCAGAATGAAGGATGCCTCCGGCAGGAGGTGACATCTACCCAAACCCACCCAATCCCTTTGTGCTGGCCAGGCAAAGAGTCAGAGAGAGGACCAGTGCTCCATATGGGGGAAACCGCACATGCCATGGCCGGGGAGGTGGACGGAGCACAGCTGGTGGGAAGAGCTGACCAGGTGGGTGGACAGGAGCATCAAGGGCACGGTGCCCGGTGGCCCATCACTCAGGGGGCTGGTGAGGGAGATTGTAGGCAGCCCAGGGCTTCTGGGGGGAGCCTTGATCTGATTCCAGTTCAGAAGCATGGTGGCTGCGGCAGGGGGAATGGGCTGCGGAACAAAAATGGGTCTGGGGTCCTGGGGAGAAGGTGTTACAGGCACCTGGGAGAGGGGTAATGGTCCAGACGGGAGCATGAGAGACAAGGACGAGTGGCAGGTATGAAGGAGGTGAGGAGCGAAATGGACAGGACGTGGTAGGGTAGAGCCGGCTGAGATGGGAGGGAGGAGGAAGCACCTGGTGGGCTTCCAGGTCTGTGGCTGAAGAACCGGCCCCCAAAGTTACCCAGGCCCCCATCCCTGGCAGCTGTGAGGGTAGTGGACATGGTGGAAAGAGACTCTGCGGGTGTGATCAGGTCAGCTCTGGGGCTGGCTGGGCCCTGAATGCAGTCCTTGCCCACTTCCTTATGCCGGGGAGTGGAGGGGGATTAGGCAGATGCGCAGAGGACGAGGCCATGGGCAGACAGGGAGGATGCCAGATGCCAGCTTTGGAGATTGGAGCGATGTGGCCTCAAGCCAAGGAATGCTGGCAGCCCCCAGGAGCTGGCAGAGGCCAGAAAGTGTCCTCCCCCAGAGTCTCCAGAGGGAGCGCAGCCCTGCCGATGCCTGGATTTGGGTCAGGTTATACCGACTTCGGACGTCCGGCCTCAGAACTGTGAGAGAACGAATTCCTGCTGTTTTAAGTGGTTCCTTACAGCAGCCGCAGAAAAGTAATTCAGGGTCCTGGTGGGTGGCCGGCAAAGTGGGTGCCATTCTCCGAGGGGCATGAGAAGAAGGGCAAGGGGCGCAGGACCCTCTGGGCTCAGGCATCCTGGGCTTCTGGGGAAGAGGCCTAGGAGGCAGTGGTAACCAGAGTTACCAGGGCAAGACCGAGGTCGGAGAAGGAGGTCAGCAGGGCTGTGGGAGGAGAGCGGAAGAGGGGGTGGGAACCCTGCAGGCCCCACGCTTCTGACTCATCCCTGGGTCTCAGGGCTCAACCAGGCCTGGCGAAGACTCAGCAGATGCCTGTGGAATGAGCGAACCGATGACCCCAAAGCTGCAGGCCACGTCCCCCAAGGGAGGCACCGAGCAGGCAGGCGGGAAGAACACAGCCAGGCCTGTCCACTGGCACAGGGGCAGTGTGTTTACCAGTGCAGGAGTTGGGAGGGTCCAGCACTGATGGTCCCGGTGCGTGGTGTGGAGAAGGCTGGTGCCTCAAATCCATCTTATGACTGAAACTCATTGGATGAAGTGCAGGAATTAACCCTGGGGGGCGGCAGCGGGCAAGCTGTCCTGGAGCGTGAAGTTCTGACTTCCTGGCACCCTTTCTATCTGGCCAGGTGACCTCAGGCAAGGTGTCAAGCTCCCCAAGCGTCCAGTGACTCGTCTGTACATGAGGCAGGTCATTTCCCGTGCACACTCACACAGGAGCACATGCAGCCTGGGAGACACTGAGAACCAGGCCACGCCTCCACCCAAGTGATTTCATCCAGCCAGCTTGCTTTCCAAATGAGGAAACCGAGGCCTAGATGGGCAGACAGGCTGCTGGGGACACACAGGTTCTAGGGATCAGAACTCACACCTACACGGAAAGGGCATCTCCCAGACAGGTCCCTGGGCCAGACTGGGCCGATTGAGCCAATTAGGGCAGGACACTGGGGCATGAGGACCCCTTATGGCAGCTCCATCTTCTGGGGGAACTTGCAGCCCAGGTCGGGAGCCATCGATGCCACAGGCCTGAGGCCCTGGGGTTATTCTGGAGGGACCTAGTGTGACAATGAGGCCAGGCTCAGCCTGGGGAAGGGCAGTACTCTCTGGCCGGAGTAACCCGGGGGACAGTTTGGGGTCTCCCTGACCAGCAGGGGTCAGGCTCCCCTCCCTGGCTGCCTCCCTGAGGACAATCACTGGGCTGAGCCAACAGCACTAGCTCCATCTGATGCTGCCCTGGGCCTTGCCTCCTGGAAGGGCACCCCTGCAGGCGACTCCTCGGAGGGCACAGGAGCACACTGGGGTCCATCTGAAGCAGGGCCTGGGCTCAGGCTTCCTCACACAGCCAGAAGCCTCCAAGCGGTGGCATTCTCCAACACAGACGTTCAACATGCTCCTCACAGCCCCGCCCGTCTCTGTTGACCACCGTGCGATGCGCACAACGCATGCTGGACGATGAACATGGTGGCACCTGCCCCGAGACCAAAGGCTGACACCCCGAGACCAAAGGCTGACCCCCCTGAGACCAAAGGCTGACACCCCCCGAGACCAAAGGCTGACCCCCCCCCCGAGACCAAAGGCTGACCCCCCGCGAGACCAAAGGCTGACCGCCCCCGAGACCAAAGGCTGACCCCCCCCCCCGAGACCAAAGGCTGACCCCCCACCCGAGACCAAAGGCTGACACCCCCCAGAGACCAAAGGCTGACCCCCCCGAGACCAAAGGCTGACCCCCCCGCGAAACCAAAGGCTGACCCCCCACCCGAGACCAAAGGCTGACACCCCCCAGAGACCAAAGGCTGACCCCCCCGAGACCAAAGGCTGACACCCCCCAGAGACCAAAGGCTGACACCCCCGAGACCAAAGGCTGACCCCCCCGCGAGACCAAAGGCTGAACCCCCCCGAGACCAAAGGCTGACACCCCCCGAGACCAAAGGCTGACCGCCCCCGAGACCAAAGGCTGACCCCCCCGCGAGACCAAAGGCTGACCCCCCCCGAGACCAAAGGCTGAACCCCCCGTGAGACCAAAGGCTGACCCCCCCTGAGACCAAAGGCTGACCCCCCTGCGAGACCAAAGGCTGACCCCCCCCCGAGACCAAAGGCTGACCCCCCCCGAGACCAACGGCTGACCCCCTCCAAGACCAAAGGCTGACCCCCCCCCGAGACCAAAGGCTGACCCCCCCCCCGAGACCAAAGGCTGACCCCCCACCCGAGACCAAAGGCTGACACCCCCCCGAGACCAAAGGCTGACCCCCCCGAGACCAAAGGCTGACCACCCCCGAGACAAAAGGCTGACCACCCCCGAGACCAAAGGCTGACCCCCCGCGAGACCAAAGGCTGACCCCCCCGAGACCAAAGGCTGACCCCCCCAAGACCATCAGCTGACGTCCTGCCAAGACCGCTGGCCAGAATAATGCTCGGGGCGGGGGGCACTTCACGGAAGAAGTGGAGATCATTTTATTCCCTGATTTTCAAACACTTCAGTATATGCATCCCAGGAATGATCTGTCTAAAACACACAGAAGAAAATTGACAGGAGAGCAAAGCACAAAATGTGAGCTATGTTTTGCTGCATTTTTTTCCGGGACTTTGATTTTCCTGCTGCCAGTGTCAAGTGTATCTGTTTTTACATGTAATTTTTATTAATTAGAATCAGTTTCCTCTCCCCACTCAATAAATATTAAAGAAACTCCAGAAGCACACTAGGCTGAAAAGCACTCAGTTGGGAGCCTGCTGGTGGCCTGTCTGTCCAACCCCACAGCTGTCCAGCCTGGGGTCTTACAGAAAGGTTGGTACCCCGACCTGGCTCTAAGTGTGAGTCCCACTCTGCTCTTGAAGTCTGTGGATGTCTGGCAAACCCAGCCAGGTTCTCCCCTGGGGGACAGAGAGAGGATCATGGGGAGGGCTCTGTCCCTGACCTTCAGGTGCCACCGCAGGGGCCCAGAGCCTGGTAGTACCCGGGTCATCAAGTCAAGTTGCCGGCATTCAGATCCTGGTGAGTTACACAACGCCTGCCCTGCCTCTTCCTTCTATAGAACCTGCTCCTTTGCAGTTGGATTGATGGTAAAGTAGTTACTAGAAATGGCAACTAGATGTTAAAAATTTATAAAGATCCAAAGGCTTAACAGCTCTCCTCTATTACTCTGAATTTTTAAGTATTCAACCACAGACAGCCTGGAAGTTAGGGGTTCACAGGAAACACAAGCATGCATCCTGTTTCCTTCTGCAGAGCACCCAGGCTGGCTGGTTCCCACTGCCCCTTCCCATGGAAGCCACAGCTGCAGCCATCAGCAGCCTCCCACCTGTGTATGACTGGGACCTGGTCTGTCACTCAACCTTGTCAACCTCCAGCATAAACACTGTCAGGTGTGTGCCAAGGTTGCAGTGGCAACAATCAAGCATAGAAGGCACAAAGCATAGGAAGCACACAGGTCCATGCACAGAGGGACCCAGACTTTGCCAAGGGACAAGGCTGCAAGTCCCTGTTGCCCTCAAACTCACCTCCCTCCGAAATACACACACAGCACGCACCTTGCCAAGAGTCCCCCAGATGCTGGCATCTGCTAAGATTCCCATTCCTGAAAGTATTCTAACTCCAAGATTCTTTCTCCCCATCTTCCTTTTGGTAATGAACCTGGGAGATCTGCTGGACAACGGGGCAATGGCCAGGCAGCCTCCCCTGCTGTGACAGCTGCCTGGTGGAATGACGGTCTCACAGGGAGAGCTGCACAGTGCCTGCAGTTCCCAGGGCGCCTCCTCTCAGAGCCTGCTCGGGCACTCTCTTGCCTCTCCCAGCTCCCCAGGGAGGTCTCTAACAACCTTGGGAGCTTTCAGGGAAGGGGGCTGGACCCCTCACTACTGAACAGTCCCAGGAGTGGGAAGTGTCATTGAGTGGGATTTGAGCCACTCCGTCCTCACCACTGGACAGTCCCAGGAGTGGGAAGTATCGAGTGGGATTTGAGCCACTCGGTCCTCACCACTGGGGGCTCCTTTACAGTTCAGCATCCCAGAGGATTTCACACACTGACTTTTCCACTTTTCCAAAAGGGACGCCAGCGGGCAGGAGCTGTCCATGGGGTTAGGAAACAGCTGTCCTCACCCGCATCTCCACCAGCTCCTCCTCTGTCTCATGGGATCCTCGCCAGGTGCCAGCCACTCCCGTCCTTCCTCTTGGAGAGCGACCCCTTGTCTAGGGCTCTGTCTTGGAGCTATGGCTGGAGCTGGGCCTTCCAGGGTTCTGCTGAGCACAGTGACCACAACAGAGTTGCCTCTGAGCTCCACAGAACCTGATGACTTTGCTTGGCCACTCTAACCTTCCCTGGACCTGGTTTCAGGCCCTACAGACCTTTACTCCAGAAAGTCTCTTTTTTGGCCTAAGCTGGCCGGAGCCAATTTCCAACAGGACCAAGGAGCCCCGACAGTCACATGCCCAGCGAGGCTCTAAGGAAAGCTAGACTCCACTTTGAAGGGCAGGGTGGGGGGCGAGGCAGGCAGGGAGAGTAAGCACTGGACGCTGAGCCAGGGGCCCTGGTTTCCAATGCGGTCATGGCCAGTCCTGCCCCCTTGCAGGCCCCCAGTTCCCTCATCTGCAAACTGAGGAGCTGGACTACGTAACCTATGAATTACTGCTTATCCTGTTTATTCATCACCCCAAAAAGAAACCCCGCACACGTTGGCAGGTACCGATCATCCTTCTAAAACTCTACTAGGACCAAGGAGAAAGAACCAAACCAAAAACCAGAAACCCACTCCTGTAAAATAAAGGCCAAGGCCGTCCCATGGCACGCAAGGCCTTCCATGGGGTCCCAGCAGCCGTCTGTCCCTGGGCGCACCCCCAGTGTCTTCCTCTCTCTCCGGGCTTCTATTTGCACCTCAAAGCCTACACCGCTGCCCTTCTCTCTTGTTATAGAGGTCAGTAAGTAGCAGAGAGCTGGTAAAGATCTGTCAGCACCAAACTGAGACTCCCCTCGACTCAACCAGAGAGTTTAAAATGCAACTGAAAAGGGAATCATTTTTCATTATAAAGTTCAATGCTTTTTTTCTTCTTTTTTTGAGACAGAGTCTCGCTCTGTCACCCAGGCTGGAGTGCAGTGGCGCAACCTCAGCTCACTGCAAACTCTGCCTCCCATTTTTAAGCGATTCTCCTGCCTCAGCCTCCCAAGTAACTGGGATTACTGGTACACACCACCACATCCAGCTAATTTTTGTATTTCTAGTAGAGATGGGGTTTCACCATGTTGGCCAGGCTGGTCTCAAACTCCTGACCTCAGGTGATCCACCTGCCTCGGCCTCACAAAGTGCTGGGATTACAGGCATAAGCCATGGCGCCCGGCCAGTTCAATGCTTTTTAATATATAACAGCTTTATGGTGCTGTGATTACCATACCATACATCTCAGCCATCTAAACTATATGCTGAAAGTGAACAATTCAACCATAACCACTATTGATTTTAGAACATTTTCATCACCCCAAAAAGAAACCCCGTACACATTGGCAGTCACTCCCCATGTTTTCCCCAACCTCTCCTCCCCAACCCAGCCCTGGGCAACCACTAATCTACATTCTGTCTCTATGAATTGGCCTATTCTGGACATTTCATATACGTGGAATCACATGCTATGTGGCCTTTTGTGACTGGCTTCCTTCACTTAGTATGTTTTCAAGGTTCATCCATGGTGTAGCATATAGCAGTATTTCATTCCTCTTTTATTGTCAAATAATACCCCATCACATGTATATACCACATTTTATTTATCCATTTGCCGGTTGATGGACATGTGGGTTGTTGGTTTTTGGCTCCTATGCATAATGCTGCTATGAACATCTGTGGACAAGTTTTTGTGTGGACATGTGTTTTCATTCCTCTCAAAGTGGAATTACTGGGTCATACAGTAACTGTGCCAGACTGTCCTCTACAGGGGCTGGACCATTCTCAGTGCCCCCAGCAGTGTGTGAGGGTTCAATTTCCCCTCATCCCCACCAATACTCATTATTCTTAGGCTCTTTGACTCTAGCTATCCAGCAGGTGTGAAGTGGTGTCCCATCATGCTTCGGCTTGCATTTCCCTGACAACTAATGATGCTAAGCATCTTTTCATGAGCTTATAGGTCATTTATTTAACTTTGGAGAAACATCCATTCAGATACTTTCCCTATTTTTAATAAGACCATTTTCTTTTTATTGACCTGTAAGAGCTCTTTATATATTCTAGACACAAATCCCTTATTAGATATACAATTTATGAATATTTTCTCTTGTTCTGTGGGCTGTCTTTTCAACTTTCTTATTAGTGTCCACTGAAGTCATGAAGGACTTTCTTGAAGTCCAGTTCACCTATTTTTTTCTTTTGTCCACTTGTGCTTCTGGTGTCATATCTAAGACTTTGCCTAATCCAAAGTAACAAAGATTTACTCCTACATTATTTAAGAGTTCTATAGTTTTAGCTCTTACATGTAGATCTATGATCCATCCATTTACAGTTAATATTTGTGTATGGTGTGAGGAAGGGGTCCAACTTCATTTTTCCATATGTGGATATCCAGGTGTGCCAACACCATTTGTTGAAAAGACCATTCTTTCCCCCACTGACTTGTCTTGGACCTTTGTCAAGAATCAATATGAGGATGTATTTCCAAACTCTCAGTTCTATTCTACCAATCTATATGTCTATCCTTCTGCCAACACCACACAGTCTTGATTACTACAGCTTTGTAGTAAGTCTTAGAATTACAAAGCATGAGCCCTTCCTCTGTTCTTCTCCTCAATAGCATTTTGGTTAGTCTGGATCCCTTGTATTTCTGTATGAATTTTAGGATCAGCTTGTCAATTTCTGCCACAAAGCTAGCTGGGATTTGATAGAATTAAATGCATTCTGGAGTCATGTTTGGTACCCATTAGTTCACCTCCTAGGCCAATGTTTAGGAAACATTGGCCTACAAAGAAACTCTGCATTAGAAACCAAGGGCTTGGTCAGGCATGGTGGCTCACACCCTGTAATCCCAGCACTTTGGGAGGCTGAGGCAGGCGGATCACGAGGTCAGGAGATTGAGACCATCCTGGCTAACACGGTAAAACCATGTCATCTTGAGATGGGAGCCCTAAGTCTATCAACTAACCAGGTGAGCCACTGTGAGCAACTCTGGGCCCTGGGAGAGGGTGCACAGAGGGATGGCTTCAACCCTGCTGCTAGAGAATGCCCTCGAGAGCGTCTGTCTCAGTTCTGCTTGGCATCCCTCCCCAGCACCCCCCACCTGCCACTTTACGCAGCCTGGACTTGACTTTAAAACTGAGACACCTGGCAAGTGGGGAAATCACAGGTCGAAATAGCGGAATTGCCCTCTGCATCTATGCTACAGGGATAATGAGGGTTACAAATCAGAAGACATTTAGCATATATTCTGGAAAAAAAAAGCTATGTAATATATAAACTATTCATAATTTAACTTTAATAAATGGGGGCAGGCAAAAAATTGCCAAACAAGCCCACAACAATCAGACAAAGAGTAGAGGAAGAAAAAAGGAATTACAGTTTAATTGCACTCGTTTCCTAATCTTCAGAATCTTCAGTTAGCATCAACAGTTACTGGTAAGTTTCTAAAATCAGTAGATACAAGCTGAAGAATTCTACTCAAAATTAGAAAAGTCACAACTAGTAAAACTAATGTATACCTTCCAAATGACTGAAGGCAGACCATATAGAAAATATGGTAGACTAGAAAAACAGCAAAAAAAAAAAAAAAAAAAAATCCAGAAAAACAGAAAACATAAATTAGATGACAGAAGTAAGAACAAATATATAACAATAAATGTAGGCTGGGCATGATGTGATCCCAGAACTCTGGGAGGCTGAGGCAGTTAGGAATTTGAGACCAGGCTGGCCAACATGGTGAAACCCCATCTGTCCTAAAAATACAAAATTAGCCAGACGTGGTGGTGCACACCTGTAATCCCAGCTACTCAGGAGGCTGAGGCGGGAGAATCACTTGAACCCAGGAGGCAGAGTTACAGTGAGCCGAGATCATGTCACTGCACTCCAGCCTGGGAGACAGAGACAGACCCTGACTCAAAAAAACCAAAACCTAAAACTAAACAAACAAAACAAAACAATAAATGGTCAGATGATTATTATTATTATTATTATTATTATTATTATTATTATTATTATTTTGGAGACTCCAGCCTGGGAGACAGAGAGATACCCTGTCTCAAAAAAACCCAAAATCCAACCGGGCGCAGTGGCTCACGTCCATAATCCCAGCACTTTGGGAGGACGAGGCGAATGGATCACAAGGCCAGGAGTTCAAGACCAGCCTGGCCAATATGGTGAAACCCCGTCTCTACTAAAAACACAAAAATTAGCCGGGCTTGGTGGTACGCGCCTGTGGTCCCAGCTGCTTGGGAGGCTGAGGCAGGAGAATTGCTTGAACCCAGGAGGCTGAGGTTGCAGTGAGCCGAGATTGCATCACTGCACTCCATTCTGGGCAACAGAGTGAGACTCCATCTCAAAAACAAACAAACAAACAAAAACAGACAACAAAAACAATAAATGGTCAGATTATTATTATTATTATTTTGGAGACAGTGTCTTGTTCTGTCACCCAGGCTGGAGTGGAGTACAGTGGCCTGAGCTCAGTTCACTGAGACCTCTGCCTCCCAGGTTCAAGCAATTCTCCTGCCTCAGCCTCCCAAGTAGCTGGGATTACAGGTGCACAACACCATGCCTGGCTAATTTTTGCATTTTTAGTAGAGACGGGGTTTCGCCATGTTGGCCAGGCTGGTCTCGAACTCCTGACCTCAGGTGATCCGCCCACCTCGGCCTCCCAAAGTGCTGGGATTACAGGTGTGAACCACCGTTCCCAGCCAGTCAGATTATTTCAATAACACTCTATGCCCTGCAAAATAATTTTACAAAATTTACAGATTTATGCTAGGCTAAAAGAGTTTCTCAGATTTTTTGACCACTTAAGGAACAGACACACCCATGACATATTGGTGACCGAAGAAGGCGGCAAGCCCAGCTGCAGCATGACCTCCTTACGTAAAATCATGTATATCTCTGTGCCAAACGTCAGCACAGTCTAATAATTAAGCATGTGGCCTCCGAGTCACTCTGCCTCGATTCAAATGTTTACTTCACCTCTGACTGAGTGGCCTCTCTGTGGACAGTGTCTGCAGGGTTGAATGGAGATAATAACAGGGTTTCCATGGCTGATGTGAGGGCTAAGCGAGATACTGCGTCTCTAGCACTGGGCACAGCACGTGATAAATCAGCCGACTGGCAGCACCATCACCATCATGATGATCATGGCATGACAGCTGTTAGGAAACGCGTAACAAAGGGTCAGCAGTGTTACGATCGGGGGTGAGTTTCACTTTTTATTAATATTTTCTGTATTTTTTTTGTTTTACATTTTTACAAAGGGCATATAGCAAAACAGACAATTCATGTGAAGACAGGAGAGACGGAAAGGGGGAGAGCACAGAGAGAAAGATAAGGGGGAAAATGGAATAAACAAGATGCCGACAAGAATGCCTCACGGGGCCAGCGCAGGGGCCAGCCAGGCGGCCTTCTGCTAAATCAAGCAACGCTTGAGTGGCTCCCTCGGGACCTGGCCTGTCCAGAATGTCCCACACTCAGCCCTCTGCAGCCAGCTCCCCCATCTCCATGGCTCCTGCACACACCAATGCCGGGGTAGCCTCCAGGAAACAGAGCTGGCCAGCCAGACCCAGCCAGGACACAGAGGTCAGTGGGTCAGACCCAGACTCTGGGACTGCAACAGGCCTGCCTATTTGTGACGAGAACTGACACTCGTCCCGGCCAGATTCTCTGGCTGACATTTCCCAGGTCTCGTTCAGCATGAAGCCCACGTCGGGGAACGTCCCCAGTCACAAATTAACATTCACATAAATAACAGGGCGCTCTCTACTAAAGAAGAAAAATGACTCGTGCTGCAGGAACATTTGCCAAACTATCAAAAAGCAAGATTTTTCTTTCTGAGCTTCCATGTCTCACCAGCTGGACCACAGCAGATTGTGGCCTTGAGACGTGTGGTGGAGGAGAGCTCATGGAATAAGGTCCAACTTCCCCATTCAAGATCCTGCCAACAGGCCGGGCACGGTGGCTCACGCCTATAATCCTAGCACTTTGGGAGGCCGAGGCAGGCGGATCACCTGAGGTCAGGAGTTTGAGACCATCCTGGGCAACATGGTGAAACCCTGTCTCTACCAAAATACAACAAATTAGCGGGACATGGTGGTGGGCGTCTGTAGTCCCAGCTACTCGGGAGGCTGAGGCATGAGAATCGCTTGAGCCCAGAAGGCGGAGGTTGCAATGAGCTAAGATCGCACCGCTGCACTCCAGCTTGGGCTACAGAGTGAGAGACTCTTGTCTCAAAAAAAAAAAAAAAAAAAAAAAGACCCTGTCGACAGGCCCTCCCCTGGGCTGGCACCTGCCCACACCAGCTGGAACCTAACACCTTTGCACAGCTGTTCCCTGCCAGCCTCCCTGCCTCCTTGGAGGTCTGCACACACCGCCCCTCCCTTCCTCCAACCAGCCCAGGAGACCAGCACGCCTGAGCACCAGCACTCCCAGAGACAGAGCCGGCACGGTGGGTCTGTCTGCTCAGGGGGCTGGGGTGGCAGGGGCACATGTCTGGGAGTTGCCAACATATGCTTCCTTACCAGATTCCCCAGGGGACCCACCCTGGAGAGCAACCAAACCCTGCAAGGCTGCACTCCAAGAACTGAGGGCCTGGGGACCCAGGACCGTCCCCCAGCATTCACAGCAGGCTCACCCACATCCACCAGGAGATGCTGCCCAGGTAGACTGCCAGCACCCCCTCCCACAAAAGGTCGGGGCCGGCGCCTTCCCTAGGTTGCTCGGGCAGCCATCACAGGGCAGCACAGGCCGGGGCTTGAATAGCAGAACCTATTCTCTCACAGTCCTGGAGGCTAGAGCTCTAAAATTAAGGTGTGGGCAGAGGCGGTTTCTCTCGAGGCCTCTCTCCTTGGCTTGTCGACAGCATCTTTCCCCTGTCCTCACATGGCCGTCCCCCTGTGTGTACTTCTGTCCTAATCGCTTCTTCTTAGGACACCAGTCATTCATGTTGAATCAGTGACTTCATTTTCAGTTAATTATCTCTTTAAAGACCCTGCCTCCAAATACAGCCAATATCCTGATCTACGGGAGTTTAGGACCTCAACAAAGGAACTGGGGGATCTAGGGAGGGCGTCACTCAGCCCATAACAGCCTCCAGGCGCCAAGTCCACACAGAATCGGAGCAGGCTGCTGGCAGGGTCCGGTGGCCAGAGCTGGGCGGGCTGTTCCTTGGGGAGCCACTCTGGACAGGCCGGAAGGTCAATGCCAGGATCACTCCCCAGGGGCCAGAAATCCAGCATGGAGGAAAGCTGCCACTCCAGGGAAGTAGGAGCCCGCCCAGGGCTGGCCACATGGGATGCCCATCTCACCCTTCCTTCTAAACTGGGCATTCTCACATGGGGACACGGGGCAGTGAGTGCAGGCGCAGGGAGACAAGAATGCTGCACAGCCGGTGGGTGGTGGACGGGCCTCAGGACCCCTCCGCCAGCAGCAGGCCACTCTCTCACGGTCCAGCAGGAGCCCTGCTCCAGAGCCCACGACTGGAGCCAGCTGAGGCTGGTGTCTCACATTCCTGCAGAGAGGCTGGCTAAGGCTCCCGTGTGGGGGCACTCCCCATGCCCACTGCACCCCAGAATTTTCTGGGCGATCCCAAGGCTGAGTCTACGCAGCTGTTGGAAGACGGGGTATGCAATTCTAGATGTGTGGCGTGTTTTGAACAGCATCCAATACCCTTTCTGTGGCAGCTCAGCCCGGAGAGCAGGTCCCCAGTCTCGAGGACCCAGGAGGCAGGGTCTGCTCCTTCCCACAGCGGGTGCTCCTCCAGGAGGGGCCAGGTGCTCAGAGGGAAACCAGTGCCCACCAAGGGCCCAGCTGCCTGGCTGGCTCCCAGCAGTGTGGGGAAGACACACTACCCGACGGACGTCCCCCTTAGAAGCAGGGGCAGACAGGAACTCCCATGGGGAGAGCACAGGCTGGGACGCAGCCCGCCCAACGCCAGTCCCCCCACTCCACTGTGCAACAAGGATCAGCCTTTCCTCTCTCAAAGCCTCGGTTCCCCCAGAGGGGGCTGCAGTTGAGAGTTGATGGTGAGACTCAGTGGGGCATGTCCTCCATGTCTGCTTGTGCAAAGCTGCCCAGATCAGGCAGTTTTCCCAGCCAGAGGACCCCCCCTTTCACTTTCCATCACAGGCTGTCATCTCCCCGGGTCCCTGGGCCACAGGCCCCTCTCAGGACCCCTCCGGCCTCATGCACACACAGAGCCTGTGCACTGCCTCACTCCTGCTTCCTTTGAATTGGGCTTCTTTTCCTGCTGTGATCTCTGGGGCCCACTGTGCTATCCAGGGCACGCTGACCGCCGACCGTCCTCTGCCCGCCTGCCCAGCTGCCACTCCCGGGCGGGCAGCCCTGCCAGGCCCGAGGCTGTCTGCTTCCCCTTCTGTCCAGAGTTCCCAAAACAAAAATCAGGCCATACCATCTGACGAAGGATCCTGTCTGGTTTATTTATGGGAAGAGCCAGGGCTCTGAGGGCCAGGTTGTCTGGGCTGTGGCCAGGCTGCTCTGCAGGCCTTCAGACACTGCCCAGCCCGTGTCCCCACCCACCCAGGGTGGCTCCGGGGGAGGGGCGGGGGCAGGGCCCCAGCACTGGTGAGCCCACACTGGTGACTCTGGGATGTGTATTTATTCTAGAGCCAGGACAGCAGCCGCCAGGGCCCTAGGCCCCTCTGTGGGTGGTTGGCCCACTGGAGAGCCGGAGCAGCGAGGCCAGCAATGACCAAAGGCGCCGTATCCAGAATGCAGGCAGGCTCAGGCGCACCTGCCCTCCCTGGATGCCACTACAGATTCGGGGAGACTGAACTCATGGGATCAAGTGCCCCACAGATCCTGGTCCTCACAAGGGACAAGGCCACCAGGTGTCACACTGGGAGACAGTGGCACCCCAGGGTATGAAAGGCCACACCAGGCTTATGTCCAGTAACCCTGCCTGCACAGCACAGCACGGCACGGCATCCATACCGCAGCACAGCCCCGCCCTCCGGCAGTGCCAAGCCCGGGATCTCAGGGCCCCCACCAGAAACCAGACAGGTGAGCAGGTGGCAGCTCCAGGCCAGGTGCTGACCTTGTGCATACCAGGCCTTCCCCGAGAGCAGGCTGCAGCCCCCCAGCTGGTTCTGACTGCCACAGGACTGCGCCCCTCCTGCAGGGCTCTGCTCACACCCACACTCCCTGCTCAGAGACGGCCTGTCCCACCGCCCCGTGTGAAATCACACCCAAGCACAGCGGAACGATGGAGGAGGCAGCTGGAAGGTGCTTTCGGTGGTCAAATCTGGGGCAATTTGAACACAATAATAAATGATAGTAATAGGTTAGAACCCATTGAATAAAATAAATATCCACAGATCAGTATTGGTAGAAACAAATAACTGAATAATAAATAAGTGGGAGGGGAAGGGCAGCTCTTTCTCACAGGGTAATTCAACTAAAAATGTAAAAGAAATGATGAGATAGAAAATCATGGTAGTAAACCCCATCGGCAACAGCACAGTCAGGACTGCGGCAGGTACGACTTATCCGTGGAGGCTACAATTAGTGAGCAAAAGGATAACAAGAAACAGAATGCTCACATCACGTCACAGCAGCTACCCACGGGAGATTTAATCATCGCAATGGGAAAAAAGAGTGAAAGAGTGGTTTGCTCATCAAGCCACTCATCTGAGACCTGAAAAAACCTCACAGTCACAGCCCTAGAGCTCCCGGGGCATCCAGTGGAATCCCAGTAGGTAACACCTTAGCCAAATGAAGAAGGGCATCACTGACAATAGGAGACAACTGGACATCCCAATGTGACAGTCCCAGCGTGGTGCCCTACGGAGGGCACAGTGCTTCTGTGACAGTCCTGCCAGAAACACGTAAGCTCAAGCCAGTACAAGGCACACCAGAAAAACCCATGGGGATGCACCGTCTACAAAACAGCTGACCAGTCCTCTTCAAAAACATCCAGGTCATGAAACCTCAGATGGGAGGAAACGGGAGAGACACAACAACTAAATGCCACGTGGGATCCTGAGGGGGAGCCTGAACCAGACAACCGACATGAGTCGGAAGACTGACAAAATTCAGTGCAGTCTGGAGTGCTACGGTTAGAATGTGACTGGTTTGTTCCCACCAAAACTCATCTTGACATTTGGTCCCCAGTGTGGCAGTGTTGGAAGGTGGGGCCTGGGGTGAGGTATCTGAATCATGGAGGCCGATCCCTCGTGAGTGGCTTGATACTGTTCTCAAGGTAGCAAGGGAATTCTTGCTCTGGAGAGGCTTGATTAGTTCCCGAGCCTGGGTTGTTATAAAAGCAGGACACTCCCTGGGTTTCCCTTCTTTGCACACATGGGCTTTCCCTTTGACCCTCTCCACCACGTTATGACACAGCACAAAAAGGCCTCACCAGAAGCCAGGGCCATGCTCTTGAACTTCCCAGCCTGCAGAACCATGAGCTAAATAAGCTTCTTTTCTTTATAAATTACCCAGTCTCAGGTATTCCATTATAGCAACACAAAATAGACTAAAACTAAGACACTAAGTACCAACGCTTAGTATCAACCTACAAAGTTCCTGGTTTCAGTCCTTGTTCTACGTTGCATACGGAGGAAGCTGGGTGAAGGGCACAGAGGAAATCTATGCTATTTTTGCAACTTTTCTTGCAATTTTTCCAAGACAGCATAGATCTAAAGTTATTTCAAAATTAAAACTTTAAACACATAAAAATAAAACTGGGCCCCAGCCTCCCTCAGTGCTCTCTGGCCGGTCCATTCTTCACATTGGCTGCCTTTCCCTGGAGTGGAGGCGCCCACTGCATCCCCAGTGTCCAGGGAGCAGGTCCTGTAGAAGGTGGTAGGTTCCAGGGATCGGGGAGCAAGTACAGAGGCCCTGAGAAGGAAGCAAGCCTGGCGTGTTCCAGGAACACCAGGGAGAACCGTGTAGCCGGAGCAATGCTCTTGTGCAGAGGGCCTATGCCTGAGCCACCCTGTGGGCCCTGCCGTTCCCTTCAGGGCACTCTCCAACCCTCTGCCCTGTGCATGGGGCCACGGATGCCCCAGGAGCTCTAGGGCTGTTGACTATGAGGTTGCTTCAGGTCTCAGTGAGTGGCTTGATGAGCGAGCCACCCTCACTGGCCAGGAGGGGACTTCCTTCACAGGTGTGAATGGGACTGAGCCACCAGCATGATGCTGACACGTGGGTTTTGAGGATTCCCACTCACATCAGACAGAATGAGTGCGGGGCTCTGGGATACAGCTGCCCAAGCCTCAAGCCTGAGTGGCACTTGTGGGCTCCTGCATCGGCTGTGGGGCCACCTCCGGGCTCTGGTGTTCAGGGGTGGGCAGTGGCAGCAGACATCCTTCACTCTGTGCCTCTGTCACTGGTGCCCAGGGCGGTGGCCCACACCCTCAAAGGTTCCGTGTCATTTCCGGGCAGTCTTCCAGGGCTGGCTGCATCCACCTGCTTGGAGTGCTTTCAGAGGGAAGCTGTTGCCCTGCAATGCCACGACCCTTCCCGTGTCCTCTCTTGCCTCCAAGCCGTGCTGGACATCATGCTCTCCTCCCAGGCTGGTCTGCAGAGGGATGGAATGCCTGTCACAACTGGGATCCCTCTTCTCTTGTCATTCTGCCTGCTGGTGGCAGAGTGTGGAAGGCGGGAGTGTGCCCACCATTAAACGAGGTTGAATTCTGGGAGTGCAGAAGTAACAGCCTCAGGACTGATGGGGAAGATGAGGCTGCAAGATGTGTGGTTCTTCCCTTCGCTATAAAGGTCCAAACGATATTTATTTATTTATTTATTTATTTAGAGACAGGATCTTACTGTGTCACCCACTGCAGTACAGTGGCTCAAACACAGCTCACTGCAGCCTGGACCCCCTGGGCTCAAGTGATCCTCCCAACTCAGCCTCCCAAGTAGCTGGGACCACAGACGTGTGCCACAACAGCTAGCTAATTTAAAAAAAAAAAAAAATTTGTAGAAATGAGGTCTTGCTATGTTGCCAGGGCTGATGTTGAACTCCTGGGCTCAAGTAATCCTACTGCCTTGGTCTCCCAAAATGCTGGGATTACAGATGTGAGCCACCACACCTGGCCCAAACATTAAATTTAACACGACCAGATGAGGACGTATGGCTCACATTTTCTTGCACACTCTGGGCAAGATCCACATTGGTGGTCATCATTAATGAAGCACGGTAACCACCTTCAAGGGAACAACGGAAGCCGGCATTCCCGGGGGCAGAGAGAAGCGGCGGAGTCAGGAGAAATGCCACAACCAGCACTAAATACATGGGGCTGGGGAATGCGGGGCAAGAAGATATACAGCATCTCCACACAAACAGGTTCCAAAGAGCCACACATTGTGAGCGGTAACAGCTTTGCTATTACCCCCCAGCTGTGGGAGATATAAATATGAAATTAGCTGGGACAGCACACTCGACCATAAAGAACAGGAAGAGATAGCTCCTGAGCCTGAGCAGTAACGAGGGTCTCTGCATGCACTGAGCAGACAGTGAGCAAATGTGTTCGTGCTTCTCCTCCCCGTCCCCTAAATCTTCCTTGATACATCTTGCTATTCCCCATGTGGGCTCATGAATCTTGTTATAAATTTTTTAATCAAATTGTCTATATAGACAGGAGTCCTGCAGGAAATATATGCCCAGGGCCCCATGTATCCTAGGGACAGCCAGCCATGCCTTTGGGAACAGCCTAGAAGGACTGTCAGGAAGGGGCCTGGGTGGGTGGGAGTCAGCTTGCCCAAGGTGACTCTCTCTCCTTGCAAGATACATCTGAGAGAGAAGCCCATTGTAAGCAGGGCCAATCCAAGCTCCCACCCCACCCTGGAGTGCAGACCACTGCCCAGACGGCTTCCTGAGGTCCTGGCTGGGGCCCTCCAAGGTACCCCATTTCCAGGCCTCCAGCCCCAGCCCCCCAATAGCCTGCCTTGAATTGTCTTCTGCTTAAGTGAGTTGAGGTCAGTTTTGCCATCCAAAGAGAAGCCCTCCTGTTTTCCTAGAGGTTGTCAGGAGCTACGCTGGCCGGTCCCCTGGGCTTGGGACATCCTCTGTTGTTGGGGGGAGAGGGTGGGAAGCGTCTTTCCTGCAGCCATGACCTCACCTTGGTGACAGCCACAGCTTCTCACTCACAGCACTGGTGTAAGTGCTAACCTGAAGCCGCTCCTCCTTGTCCACGGGGAAGACAGTCTGACCCCACTTTCCTCTGCTCCCCGAAAATAAGGAACGTTATTGGTGTTGCTTTGTCCTGACAGACTCACACGTCCTTAAAAAGTGCTAATCTTCACAAAAGAGGCAGCGGCCTGTGCCTTCCTTGAGGAAAGTCAGATTAATTAGCTGACTCCCACATGAGCAGCCTCTGATTCTTGCAGGCTTTGTTTATGGATCAGAAATCAGGCTTGAAGTGAAAACTGACATCTCAATGTGAAGAGTATTTTCCCTGCTAACTGCAGTGAGTCAGAGCCGTGCGCTGAGCTAGACAGATAGGGAACATGGCCTTCCCATGTGGACTGGAGTGTGCCAACGCCTCCGGGCCACAGCCCAGGACAAGCGTGGGACATCAGCCTCCCATTGCTAGGCCAGAACAGGCCAGTGCCCCATAGATCCCAGCCCAAGACAAGCACCGGAGTTGGCATTCCAGGGTAGGGTTTTGTTTGTTTGTTTTTCTCAAGATGGAGTCTTGCTCTGTCGCCTAGGCTGGAGTGCAGTGGCATGATCTGGGCTCACCACAACCTCCACCTCCTGGGTTCAAGTGATTCTCGTGTCTCAGCCTCCCGAGTAGCTGTGATTACAGGCACACGCCACCACACCCAGCTAAATTTTTTTTTTTTTTGTATTTTTTTAGTAGAATGGGGTTTCATCACATTGGCTAGGTGGTCTCGAACTCCTGACCCTGTGATCCGCCTGCCCTGGCTTCCCAAAATGCTGAGATTACAGGTGTGAGCCACCGCACCTGGCCAAGGTTTTTTTGTTTTTTTGTTTTTTTGTTTTAAGGTATTTGTGCATCTCAAACATTCCACTTAATGACTGGGAACTGGGGCCTGCAATCCCAGCACTTTTGGGAGGCCGAGGCAGGAAGACTGCTTGAGCCCAGGAGTTCCAGACCAGCATAGTGAGGCCTCATCTCTACAAATAATTTAAAAATTAGCTGGGTGTGGTGGTGCATGCCTGTGGTCCCAGCTACTTGGGAGGCTGAGGTGGGAGAATCACCTAAACCCTGAAGGTCCAAGCTGCAGTGAGCTAAGATGCTGCCACTGCACTCCAGCCTGGGTAACAGAAAAAGACACTTTCAAAAAGAAAAAATATGACTGGGAACCGGGAGAAAGATGTTGATGAAGGCACGCAGCCTACAGTCAGAGCTGACAGCCCAGAAACACGTCCAGCCAGCCAATTATTTTTAATGAATGCCCTTCCTTTGGTGACTCAATCCCATGAACAGGGAAGATGGGTGCATGGCTAGAAGCTCTGTCCAGGCTCCGAGGGCTGCCCAGCAGACCCACCCTAGGGGGTGCCAGGATCAACCCGACCCAGGGATGCTGAGCACCCATGCAAGTCTGACCCACCCACGTGGCCCAAGGAGGCAGCTTGTGGAGGTCCGGAATGGTGGTCTGGAGATTGGGCACCCACAGACTTGGGGAGTGGAAGGGCCACCCCAAGCCCTGCCCCCGCCCCCACTGCAGCTTCCCCGCAGGGCTGCACCCACATCCGCAGGGTGGCCCCTGCCCCGTGTGCCCAGCTTCCAAGGTGGCCTGCCCCTGATGCCAGAGAAACTTCCTGCTGGCCAAGCGGAGGGGCTTGCTTTCTAGGGTCAGCAGGAAATGTCAACATTTTCCCTGAAAAATCCTTCAATTCCCTCATTGAGTCTCCAGTAGACTTAGGTCATGTATACACTCAACAGGACAACTCTTTTCCACCCCAAATGCTGACAGCCTCTGAGGCAGTCTAAAGAAGGAAGGAAGAGTCACTGTGCAGACTCCTGGCATGGAGGCCCTCCTGTCGCTCTCAACTACTGCCTCTAGGCGAACGGGCCTGTGGGGAACTTGGCGGGTTCCCACTGGCCGCATGGATCATTGTTTCCACTTCAAAACCAGGCCTTGAGCACCCTACTGGAGGCTGCTGGGTTTGTCTGTCATCCTCAGAGCCTGAGAGCATCTGGCACCAGGCCTGGCTGAATAAATAGATTCTGGATTAGAAAGGAAACCTGGCTTTGAAAAGACACAGAGAAGAACCAGGTCCCTGCGTCCCTTCCTTCCAGGCTGATGTTCTGGGCTGGCGGGTCTCTGTTGGGCTCCCCACCCCTTCACCTTCTGCCCTGTCCTACAGCCCAGTAGGCAGACCTGATGGACTGGCTCCTCCTGGCTCTCCCTGGGTGAAGGGGGGCACCGACAGGAAACCAGGGCTGGGGAGAGAGACAGAAGGTTTTATTTCTCCCGCTGTGGTGGCCCCCAGCCTCCCCGCCCTGCAAGCTCCCTCGTCCTGCCCGCAGCTCTGTGAGTTGTGCCTTTGTCAACTCCTTTCTGTTGATCCCTTATGTGTCCCAGGCCCCTGACTGATCCGACATGCCCTGTAGCCCGACCAGGCAGCCCTCACTCTCATAGTCCAGGTGCTGGTCCCATCTCTAGGGTTTGGGATGGGACTTCCACACTCCAGCCCAATTTCCACCCTGAAGCACACGGGTGAGCCAGTTCCCTGCAACCACCACAGACTCAGGACACAAAGTCCCAGGCTGGTCCAGAACATTCTGAGCAGGGCAGAGGAGCCCCGTCCATGGCGGCTGGGGCAGTCCCGCAAGTGAGAGTCGGGGTGGGAGGAGCTGGAGGCTCTGGAAGGGATTCAGGAGCAGCCACCAAGGCCACCTTCCACACACGTCCTCAAAAGCCCTTCCATATTCCGCTGAAACCACTAGTGGGGCCTGTGCTGGGAGCAAGGGAGGCGTGGAGACAGGTGGGGCTGTGGAAGGAGGCTGCCATGAGGAGGGAAGGCTCCTCCAACCCAGGACGCCCCACTGCAGGAGGAAATGCCTTTCTGGCTGTGGTCCAGGAGACTGAGGGTCCTGCTCAGCCACACAGCACGTGCCAAGGTGCAGAGCCCAGGGGAAGAGCAAACCGAGGAGCTGGCGGTGCCTCGGACGATGCAGTGATGGTGAAGCAGGAGGATGGGGGAGGCCTGAGCCGTGGGGACAGGAGAATGACCACAGGATCCACACCTCTGTGGTCCGTGGGACCTCAGCAGACGCTTTGGGTGATGCCAGAGAGCCATGGAGGAGGTGGCGGCAGGGGCTGTGCTTCTGAGAATGCTGACAATGATGGGACCCGGGAGCAGCCGGAGCTCAAGGGACGGGCAGGGGCAATGCCGGGGCCTGTCTGTGCTCGGAGGAGGGGGAGGTGGGTGAGCAAGGAGGTGGGTGAGCAGGGAGCGGGAAGGTCCCAAGGGGGGATGCTGCCTGCAGAGGCCAGCAGTCAGGAATGTCGAAGTAGATCCTTCAGCGAGGCTGGGGCCCCTGCTCGGAGGCAGGAAAGTAAGGGAGGAGGGATGGGGCTGGACCCAGCAATTCAGCAAGGAAAGCAGGAGGCGGGAGACAGTGGTACAGGCAGGGAGCAAGTACAGCAAAGAGGACCAGTGGCATCCGACTCGGATAAGGAAGGACCGCAAGGCAGGTGGAGATGGGCTCAGTGGGTAAGGTCCCCAGGGGCGGCCTGGGCAGAGGGCAGGAGGGAGAGGCGGCGGGCAGAGAGAGGCTGCTGCGTGCTGTGGGTCAGGAGGGTGGTGCCTGGGAAGACCAGCTGCCTGCCTGCTCCCAGGGTGGACAGGGGACAAGTCAAGCATAAAGATGCAAAGGTGCAGGCCGAAAAAAGGACGGGCCACTGGTATCACTAACACAACCATCAATGGGTTTAACATTGCAGTTAGAGATCAACCAGACTGAGATGGAACAAACAAGGCATGCCGTCTGTAACACATGCCTGAAACATGCTAAAAGAGAGACAGAGAAAACTGCAAACCCAGAAAGCAGGGTGTCTGTAGTATCATCAAAATAGAACTCAGAGCAAGTACTAAATGACTGGAAACTCCTGTTGTATTGACAAGGCTTGGTGAAAGCACACAGTCACCAAGCTTTACAAACCAAGGGCCGCAGCATCTGCCATGGTTAGAAACACAAGTGGCTCAACAGCCCTGTCAAAGGGAAATGCGAACGGCCACTCCCAGTGGGTGACAGGTCTCCTAGACCACAGCAGAGGGGCACAGACTCATTGACTCGGGAAATGGGCCGGATTGATTTCTGGATGGATCTGACGACTTACAACCGAAAGCAAATGAGTATTCTTTACAAGCATGGGGGAGCATTTACAAAAATTGATCCCGGCCTCCCCTGCCTGCCTGGCCTGAATCCCCCAAGCCTGTCAGCCGTAGCCTCCCACCCCACCTGCCTGGCAATGCAGAAACCTGAGATTGCTGCTTCTCGGCACCAAGAACCAAGAGGTGAAGTTGGTATGGGGACCCCCTTCTGCCCCACTCCCTGCTAGTACTGTCCAGCCAGAAGGCCCTCCCCACAGCCTGCCCCTTTCTCTTGACTGTTCCCTTCCCCAATACGCTGAGGCCCCATGTCTCCCAGGACCCTCCCTCAAGACCCCGGCTTCCCTCTCCAGGGTGACTTGGGCCCTTGCATCATGGGGCATAATGCCAACTCCCCACCCCTACTGATGAAGTCACTGGCAGAGTGCCCCCAACGCCCTCCACTATAATCCCAGAGGACGGAGAGCTCTTGCTCTGAGCCGAGACAACCCACTGCCCACCACCAGCTCCCTCAGGGCTCTCCACAAGTCCCTTCTCGCCTCCCCTGCTGCGTCTTCGGCCTCCTCCTCTCTAAAGTCCTCTCTCAGCCCAACAACAGAACCGGGTCTCTTCAATCCTGAACAAGAAGACTCTGCTTCCCCTCCAGCCACAGGACCTCCCTTCCCTCACAGCCCTTCTCAGCAGGCTGGCCTCTGCTGCTCCCTCCCACGCACCAATGCCCATGGCCTCTGTCCCTCCTCCCCAGGGCCCCGGGGACCTCCACACCCTCCTGCTCAGCCTCTCTCTGGCCGCCCCCAGCTGCTCCGGTTTCCACAGCACCAGAGGCCAGGGTCCCCTCGTGCCACAGTGACCCTGCAACGCAGATTCCGTGCTCCCTTCAGAAGCCCACCTGACATTCATAGAAGCTGAGCAAACACCAGGAGACAGAGGCAATTTCAGAAATTCCCCGAGGCTCGGGGAACCCAGGCTGTCCCCTTCACTCCTAACTCTGTGGCAGGCCTGGCCCTGCCAAGCCTCCATGGAGATGAGCTCTTCCTGTCCCAAGGTGATGGTGTGAAGCGGGCCTTTGGAAGGTGATGAGGTCATGAGGGTGGGGACCCCGTTAATGGGATTAGTGCCCTTATCAGAGAGGCCCAGGGAGCTTGTGCACCCTCCACTGTGTGCAAACACAGCAAGAAGGCCCCAGCTATGAGCGAGGAAGCAGCCCTCACCAGACACCAAACCCACTGGCGCCCCGATCTCACATGTGAGACTCCAAAACTGTGAGAAATAAACTTCTGTTGTTTCTAAACACCCAGTCTGTGATATTTTGTTATGGCAGCCTGAACGGAGGGACACCTGCAGAGCCTGGGATGCTCAGAATACACACGTGGCAGGAGGGGTGTGGACGGGCTCTACGGAACTGGGAGATGCCTAGAAATGCTAGAGGGGTTGAGGGGGAGGCATTCACAAGCCCTTGTAGGAAACTGAGATCTGCGCTGGTTAGGGGTGGGGTGTCACTGGAATGGCAAGATGCAGATATAAATGCTGACAAGACCCAATTTAAACCCAGAGATGCTAAGGTCTGAAAACATTTGGATTATACTAGGAATCAACGCAAAGCTTAATAACCTAAAATCCAACCACTCGGAAGTTTTTTCAACATTCCTCTAAATAGCTCTTAAGTTACTGGAATCAAAATCATAAATCTTTTTAAAATGATGACAGTGAGAATTCAGCACATCAGAACCTGTGGATGAGACCAAAGCCACCACCAGAAGCAAGTTCACAACCTTCTTAATTATAGACCAGAGTGAAAATAAATGAAGCCAGTGCTCCAGTCAAGAGGGCAGAAGAGAGAGCAACCATAAACCTAAAGATGTTGATACAAATAGCATGAGTGACAAGATCTCACTTCTGAGTGTGACATATATGTAACAAGATGGAAAAACGGTTAGTTTGTATAGCTGTAACAAATTACTGCAAATGTAGTGGCTTAAAAACACAAATTTGTCCAGGCGCGGTGGCTCACGCCTGTAATCCCAGCACTTTGGGAGGCTGAGGCGGGCGGATCACGAGGTCAGGAGATGGAGACCATCCTGGCTAACACGGTGAAATCCTGTCTCTGCTAAATATACAAAAAATCAGCCGGCCGTGGTGGCGGGCGCCTGTAGTCCCAGCTACTTGGGAGGCTGAGGCAGGAGAATGGTGTGAACCCAGGAGGCGGAGCTTGCAGTGAGCCAAGATCACACCACAGCACTCCAGCCTGGGCAACAGATCAAGACTCCAACTCAAACACACACACACACACACACACACACACACATTTATTATCTGACAGTTCTAGAGATCTGAAGTCCACAATGGGTCTCACTGGGCTAAAATCAAGGTGTGGGGAGGGCTGCATTCCTTCTGGAAGCTCTAAGGAGAATGTTTCCTTGTTTTTTTCCAGCTTTTAGAGGCTACCCACATTCCTTGGCTTGTGGCCCCCTCCTCCATCTTCAAAGCCAGCACCGGAGCATCTACTGACCCCTCTCTGACTCTGAACTTCTGCCTCCATCTTCTACTTTTATGAATCCTTGTCATGGCCAGCTCACACCTGTAATCCCAGCACTTTGGGAGGCTGAGGCGGGCGGATCACAAGGTCAGGAGATGGAGACCATCCTGGCTAACACAGTGAAACCCCGTCTCTACTAAAAATACAAAAAATTAGCCAGGCGTGGTGGCAGGCGCCTGTAGTCCCAGCTACTCTGGAGGCTGAGGCAGGAGAATCACTTGGACCCAGGAGGTGGAGCTTGCAGTGAGCCTGAGATTATGCCACTGCACTCCAGCCTGGGCGACAGAGTGAGACTCCGTCTCAAAAAAAAAAAAAAAAAAAGAAGAATCCTTGCCATTACACTGTGCCATCCAGGATAATCTCCTTATCTTAAAAGTCAACTAATTAGCAACCTGACTTCCATCTGTAACCTTCACTGCCCCTGCTATGTCACCTGATTTATTCCCAGGTTCTCGGGACTGGGACATGGACAACTTTGGGAGAAGGATTATTCTGTCTCTCACAGAGACTATCTCAAAAGGGTAGGATTTCATGGTTTTTGCTTTCTCCTTAATACTTTTCTACATTATTCAATGATAATGACCATATGTTTTGTATGTTCAAAAGTAATTTTTAATTGTGAATAATGTAAATTATTGTGAATCATGTTTTGTCAGTTGTTGTGAATAATGTTTAATTGTAAACAATGGAAAACTAAAGAAACAAAAGAATAGCATCCTCTTATAGCACCCATTGATGTCTTTGCAACACTTTTTGGCTGGTCTTTTGTCCCCGTCCCCCTGACTTTGAGCTGCCTGAGGACAAGCCAGACCCCCCTTCACTTCTGTGGCTCTAGCAGTAAGCATGAGGACTTTGGCACAGCAGGCTTTAGCAGACGTTTCTCAAAGTGAAGATAAATCCCCTTATAAAGGAGGCCCTGGTTTAAGAAGAATGATGTGCACACTCAAAAGTGCACTTTAAGGCCAAGCTCCGAATAAACACGATGATATTATTTTATTTAAGAGTCTTCATACATACAACTTAATTCAGTAACAGTCTGAGAAACGCAAGCCAGCAGACAGATAAACCGTTATGGCTCTGGCTCTGGCAAAAACTCTTCATCTACGCGGAGCCAGAAGAAAGCCAATTAAAAGTCGGAGAGGTCCCGCAGGACAGAGGCCGGAGGATGTCCCCACACACTGAGCACAAGCCCCAAACACAGGCTTCCCCAGTCTGGAGCCGGCGGCCAGCCCCCTCCTGGCCTCAGTGAAGCCTGGACTCCTCACTCTGTCCAAGTGGGAGGAACTGGTCCCAGCTGCAAGAACCGCCTACTGTGATCTGGGCAAAGGTTCTGGAGGCTCTGCTCGCTCCTGTCCCCCAGGAAAAAAAAAAAAAAAAAGACAGCAGAGGGCATTGCTCAGGGGCCCAGCCTGGCTGTCATCCCTGAACATCCTGGGCTGAAGGAAAGAATTGAGCCCAGCCGAAACTTGAGATCTTTAGACTTAAATCCCCACTCTGTCACTTGTGGCTATTTGGCCTCTTTCGACCTCTGCTTTTCCGTGTCTAAAATGGCACAATATTACCTACTTTACAGAGTTGTCAAGGGATTGAAAATAAGATAATGAAGGCAAAGGAAGTGAGCTCAGTATCATTATGCCCATTTTACAGATTGGGAAACAGGCTCCAAGAGATGACATGACTCTTTCAGGATTAGACAGCTAATGAGTGGTGGATCCGGATCTGCTCGCACAGGGCTGGGCTCCTCCCCAGCCCCGCACTGGGACAGGGGCATCTCTTGAGGGCTGCCCTGTGGCGCCCAGATGCCGCAGGGAGACAAGGCTGTGTGCACAGATCTCTCTCCACTGGGCAGCACCTGAGTAACTGGGGGAGAGAAGTGGGTTTCAAGCATCTCCTTTGTGAACCACTGGGCTTAAGTATGCTGAACTTCAGTTTTGACGCAGAACTTGGAGACAACCCATCCTCTGGGAAAAGACACAAATGAGGGCAGGACCCCTGCACCATGTGCCCTGCTGCCCCAGCAGTGTCCTCTCATCCAGCGTGTGAAGAAGGAGTGCAGCCGGAGAGCCGGTGGCAGCAGGGCGTGCGGGATGCCCCGCTCACAGCGTGCTGTGCCCGGGAGAGGAGCGAGGGCAGGCCCCCAGCTGCTTGGGAACAGTCAGCCTGCACACCTCGCCCCTGGGTGCCCTTCCAAGGCAGCCCTCAGGCCCCAGGCTCCGGGACTCCCTGCAGAGGAACTGCAAGCCAGTCCTGGCCCAGCACAGCCCTTCCGCCAGCCTCTGGCCAGCGTCAGGAAGGGGAGTGTAGAGTGAGTAGGAAGCCACACAGGAGCAGAAGCCGGGACTTCTGCCTCTCACCCCACTGCATGTATGAAAATAGACGGGGGTGATGGCCGGGTGCGGTGGCTCATGCCTGTAATCCCAGCATTTTGGGAGGCTGAGGTGGGCGGATCATGAGGTCAGGAGATGGAGACCATCCTGGCTAACACAGTGAAACCCCGTCTCTACTAAAAAAATATAAAACATTAGCCGGGCGTGGTGGGGGGCGCCTGTAGTCCCAGCTGCTCTGGGCGACAGAGCAAGACCGTCTCAAAAAAAAAAAAAAAAAAAAAAAAAAAAGCGGGGGAGTGATAAGGCCCCGGACAACCCAAACTGCAGCAAGATTCTCTGCGGAGGCAGAGCTGCCTCCTCCTGGGGGTCCTCTGGACCAGGAAGGAGCCCTGAGGACTTGTGGCCCAGTGGGTCCGGCTTCCCAACCTCCACCTTGCCAGCAGCACCGATAGATGTGGCCACAAAGGTGCATTCACATTTGCGACCTGTGGCTGAATGCAGACCCTGGGTGCTATCTCCCGGGGGGGCAAATGGCAGTAAGCAAGCAAAGAGGAAGTCGACAGAGAGTGACGCAGCCGTGAGGACAACAGCACAGAGTATTGTTGAGGGGGGCGGGGGACTTCCTGGAAGAGATGACACTGGAGCTGAGGCCTAAATGATTGGAAAGAGGCAGCGATGGAGAGATCTGGGGAAGTGGGCTCCAGCACAGAGAACAGCACATGCAGAGGACCCGAGGTCAGAACAGACCTGCCATGTTTGAGGAAAGGGAAGAAGGCCAATGTGAGTGGAGTGTGGAGAGCAAAGGGTGGGCGGGGGCGAGGGACAGGAGGGCAGAGTGGTGGGCCTGGGTGGGGTACAGGAGGGCAGAGTGGTGGGCCTGGGTGGGGTACAGGAGGTCAGAGTGGTGGGCGGGGGCAGACTGCACAGAGCTTCCTCTGCTGTGGGGAGGAGATTGGATTTTCTCCTCTGTGCAGTGGGCAGCCCCTGGAGGGTGGAAGAGACCTGATTCCCCTGTCAGTTGCTCTGGGCATGTTGTGAGAATTGCTGGGGGCAGGATCTCCCTCCCTCTCTCTATGAAATTCCTGTTCAGCAGGGATCTGCCTATGGCTGTATTTCTGCTGGTAGAAGTCCCTCCCTGATTATAAACCGCTCAACACATAGAGAGGTCCCTAGGAGAAGGTTCAGGTTCCAGTAGGATGGTGTGAGCACGCCTCACCTGCATCCCCCACTGCCTGCAGCCACCCAAATGCACTGGATTCATGAGCAGCTAGCTGAGGACCCTGCAAAATAAATAACAGCATGCAGATTGGGGAAGAAGACTAGAATGTGAGGTTCAGCAAACCCGCAGAGTTTACTCTTCATTCTCTGGTATTCCTCAGCCTAGATACAAGGCAGGTCAAACTCCAGAAGCGGGCACTGGGTACAGACAGACAGAGCTCGAGACAAGCCCTGTTGTTGTAGCTCAAGGATAGAAAAAGCATTTCCGAATGCTCAGAGCCAAGCCAACACCTCATTTTTCTTTCCTATTTCCTTTTTCTTTTCTTCGTGTTCTCACACGCCAGCTCATGGCAGCCCACAGGCACCTAAAACTCTAAGAGGGGAGCCTGGCTGTGTAGCTGGAAGTGCTGTGGTCCTAGAAAGGTGGAGTGAAACCCCATTGCTCTTTCCTCTTTTGGTCCTCCCAGGAGTGTAGTTGCAGGAAGTGTGCAAGACAGCAGGGTCAATAAAGCCCCAGCTTTCTGGCCAGAGAGATTTAACAAGGAGCCGCAGGAAACTGGACAGGGCTAGGAAGATGGCAGAGACAGCAGAGCTTGGGGAACTGGCATCAGAAAGTTGGTTAGAAACTCCTGGGCTCGTGCTTGAGCCGTGCACGAGTGGGTCTGACCCTAAACAACACGCCATAGGTTCTGGGGACTGACTTAGGAGGTGGACCAATGCCCAGGTCCCAGACGTGCCACTGGGTTGTGTTTACATGGGATTGATCAGAATAGGACTGCACAGGCTTTGAAAATGGACCTGACATTGAACCGCAATCCACAGGCACATTGGAACTTGCAGCCGGAACCCAATTAACCCAAGGGTTAATTACCTGATCAAACAAAAATAATGACCTTCTCCATAGCATTTAAACAAGATCCAAAGTCTCATAGGGTAATATCAAAGTGTCCAGGATACAGTCCAAAATTACTTGGCATACCAAGAACCAGGAAAATCTCAACTCCTCCAGGCAAATACAACCAACAGATAACAAGACTGAGATAGCACATATGTTGGAATTAACTGACAATGATCTTAAAGCAGCTATTATAAAAATACTCCATAAAGTAAGGGCAAAAACTCTGGCAACTAATGGAAAGATAGTCTCAGCAAGAAACGGAAGACATATTTTTAAAAAGGACCAAACGGAAATTTTAGAACTGAAAAATACAATAACAGAAACTTTAAGAACTCACTGGATAGGCTCAAGAGCAGAATGGATATGACAGAGGAATGAGTCAGTGAACTTGAGGATAGAGCAATAGAAGTTACCCAATTCAAACTGCAGCGAGTAAAAATATTTTATAATGCCAAGAGCCTTAGAGACTGTGGGAAAATACCGAAAGATCTAACTAACAGTCATGTCCCAGAAGGAGAAGAGAAAGAATGTATTACTAAACAAATATTTGGATAAATAATGGCTGAAAACTTCTCAAATTCTGTGAAATGCATAAACCTACCAATTCAACAGATCGGCAAACCTCAAATGAGAGAAATCCAAGGAAACACAATCCCACACGTTATAAACACACTCTGAAAACTACAGACAAAAAAAAGTCTTGAAAGCAGTCAGAGAAAAACAGTGCATTACTTATAGGGGAAAAATGGTTCAGATAACTGCAGATTTCTTATCAAAACTGTGAAGTCCAAAGGAAGTGCAAAACATTGTTAAAATGCTGAAAAAAAAAAAAAAAGAACTGTCAACCCAGAATTCTATCTCCAGCAAAAATACACTTCAAGAATTAAGGAGAAATAAAGACATTCTCAGATGAAGCAAAACTTATAGAATGTGTGGCCAGCAGATCTACCCTAAGATGGTTGCTGAAGGAAGTTCTTCAGACAGGGGGAAAATGATGCTAGAAAGAAATTTTGAACATCAGGAATAAAGGAAGAGCAACAGAAATACCTGAAAAAATATAACAGATTAGGCTCTTGCGTATTTTAAAGAGGAATGATAATGCTGTCTGATGTAGTTTTCCATGTATGTAGGTGTATAAAAGACAACAACATTCAGGGGAGGACAGAGGGACCTATATGATGGCAGGGTCTCAACATTCAACTTGAAGTGGTAAAATATTGATTTGAAAAAGACTCTGAAGAGTTATATAGGTTTATTATAATCCCTGGAGCAACCAGTAAACACTATACAAAGATATACAACCAAACACAATAGGTAAATTAAAATTGAATACCAAAACATGCTCAAATAGAAAAAGCAAAATAAGCCCAAAGCAAGTAGAAGGGAGGAAATGATAAGAGTAAAAATCAATGAAACTGAAAATATGAAAATAATAGAGAAGATCAATGAAACCAAATTTGGTTCTTTGTAAAGATCAGTCAACTGATAAATCTCTAGTGAGACTGAAGAAGAGAAACAGAAAAAAATATGAATTACCAGTATCAGAATATTTTTAAAAAGGATATCACTAATGACATCACAGCCATAAAAAAGATAATGGAATAGTATAAACAATTCTATGCATATAAATCCATCAGTGTTGAAGAAATGCATGATTTCCTCAAAAACTATAAGCTACCAAAACTTACCCAAGACAAAGTAGATAGCATAAAAAGTTCTGTAACTATTAAAGAAAAAGAATTCATAGTTTAAAATCCTGCAAAAAAGAAATTTCCAGGTCTAGACGGTTTTACTGGAAAATTCTACTAACCTCTCAGGAAAAAATGGCACCAATTCTCCCATTCATTTTATGAGGTCAACATTACCCTGATATTAAAACCAGACAAAGACAGTTCAATAAAAAAAAAAACCCTACAAACCAATATCCCTCATGAACCTATAAACCAATATCCCTCAATGAACATAGACACAAAAATCCTCAGCAAAACACTGGCAAGTCTAGTCCAGCCATGTATAAACAGCAGAGTGCACAACAGACAAGTCATGTTTGTCCTGGATTTGCAGAGTCTGGCACAATATCCAAAAGTCAGTGTAACCCAGCATATTAACAGACTGAAGAAGGAAAAAAAATATGCTTATATCAAGTGATAGAGAAAACCATATGATATGATTCATTCATGACTAAAAATTAAAAACTCTCAACTAACAGAGAAAGAAACGTGCTCAACCTGGTAAGAATATCTACAAAAAAACTAAAGCTAACACAATACCGCATCCTGAGAAACTGTTTTCCCCTAAAATAAGGAGCATTTTCACGACTCCTACTCAACCTTGGGTTGAGTCCTAGACAGCACCTCTGTACACACCCAGCACCCAGCACAGACCCTCAGGCCAGGGCAGGAAAGGGCCCCAGAGAGCTTCCCCAAAACCCGTGTTCCTGGGGAAGGTGGATGTCCAGGAAGGGTGACTGGCCCCTAAAGCCTAGGGGAAGCGGGGGCCCTCCTGCTCCAGCCTCATGAAGCTTTGATCTCCAGTGCCAAGCCCGGTGCCAGCAGAGAGCCAGGCAGATGAACTCAACCAGGGAAAGGACACCCAGGAAGGAAGCAACTCCATGAGATCGAGTCTCATAGCACCAAGTGCTCCCACAGGCTCTGAGGACATGGCTCTTATTCCAGGACCAGGCCTGACAGGAGCACAGCCTGAGGGATGAGAGGGCAGGGCAGTCTTCTGCTGGGTGGGGAATTGGCCACCAGGGCCAGTCCCACATCTGTTGTGGCCCTGGCAGGATCAACCCTGGGCCTGAGTCCTTGGAGGTGAGGCCAGCACGTAGTAGAGGGGCAGCCGAGTAAGAAGAACCTCTCGGGGAAGTCAGTGGCCAGCCAGCCTAAGCCCGGCCCAGACCCTCGCCCTGCTAGCATGAGACAGACACAGGGGGCCCGCACTGCAGAGCTGCCCCGGCCCACGCGCCCCTGCCCTGCTGTGCTCCGCCATCTGCCCCAGCAGTGCTGTGAGAGCATCGCACCCTGCAAGCCTCAGCCTTCAGGGACGGCAAGACCTGGGGCCCACAGGAGGTCCACCGGCCCTCTCAGGGCTCGAGCACCCGGCCAACCCTGGGTGGCCACTGCTCAGCACTCCAGGACAGCTCCATGACACAGAAGCAGCTCTGCCCATGAGCATTCAACAGCCCGGTCCGGGGGGCACCACCACGCAGGGGCTTCCCGGGTCATGCTGCACCATCCACTAATAGCACCATCACGTATGCCAGGCTGGGAGCCCGGGCGTCCCAAGCCTGTGACCTCATTCTCTATGCTCCTCACGGCTGCCCCACAGAATCTCTGAAACACGACTCAGACCTGTCACTGCCTGCCCAAAGCCCTCCAGCGGCTTCCCACCACATGACTGCCCCGGTCCCCGCTGATTTCTCCTTCACTCAAGTGCCAGCCGTGGAGATCTCCTCTGTGTCCTTGGCACACTTCAACTCAGCACCTGCCTCAGGGCCTTTGCACCTGCTGCTGCCTCCACCTGGAATGGCCTTCTTCCAGAAGTCCAGGTCCTAGCTCCGATGCCTCCTCACAAGGACCTTGGTGAAGGGTGTCCCTTCTCCATCACACTCCACACTGCCATCCTGTCCTATTTTTTTGTAACACCATTTCCCAATCATCGACACGTGGGTTCTTTATTGGGTCACTCTCTGCCCCCTGACCAGGGATCTTACGAGAGCAAAGTTGTCCTTGCTGGGTCCACGTCACCAGACCAGTGCCTGGCATCTCACAGGCATGGAGTTGAGTACGGGAGGTCGCCGGCCCTCCCGAGGCTCCCTTCCCCTACTTCAGGATGGTGTAAGGTTTCCTTGCCAAGGTCCCTGTGGTGCAGAGTGGGCCAAGTTTGCCGCCTTCTGGAGCGACAACAAGGAGAAAACAGGGGTTTAAGTGGAGGATCCGGTGCTCTGATTTCTCCCCAGTTAGTAAAGCATTCAGGCTGCTCGGTGGAGGTGGGAAGACAGGCGCTGAGAGTTGTCTGACACAATTGTCTTAGCAGCAGGAGACGCTGATGGGATGTCGGGAGTCACCAGGACCATCTGACAAATGACCGCCTTGGGGATCCGTGGAGCTCAGCGGTGCCCAGAGAGAGCACTCGAAATGCCAGCTGGAAAGGTCACGCACGCCAGCTGGAAGGGGAGCCGCGCAGCCCCTGGGCAGGCTGAGGACAGGAACGGGCAGCCGCCACTGTTCACGAGCAAGGGTGCAGGGGCACCAGAGCCCACAGGAGCTCCTGCAATGCGATGACCATGCCTGCAGGCCCCCATAATAGACAGCCTCATTTTTTTTTTCTAGGCAAAACTTTGGGAGGATCCTTTTTAATTGTATTTGCAAAACAGTTTCTCCCAACATGATGCCCATGTGTATGTGGATTGGGGGAAATTCCCAAGGCCTCTCAGAGAAGTGCCTCCTTCCTAAGGTGGTGTCCCAGCAGATGAATCTGGCTGGCGTCCTGAGTGGAAGCAGGGCGCGGGCTGCCATGGAACCCCACCCTCCTGCAGGTTCCTGGCCCCTCTGCCTCCTCTTCCTTCCCACCCCAGGGGCCCTGGGATGCAGCTAGGCCAGCTGGGAGCCAGACAGCCACTGAAGCCCTCGGGGTACTGTTCCCTGCCTTTAGCATCCCCCTCAGCTGCCCATTCATTCAGCCATTCTTCTAGGAGGACAGGCCAGGCCATGGTGAGGCCCTGGGTCCAGGGAAAGATACGAAGAGGGCTGAGGCGGGCGTTCCTGCCCTTGGGTCTCTTCCGCTGCCCTGGCAGCCCCGTGCCTCCTGACTGTGGACTGGAGTTCTGCAGCTGCGCCATCCACAGGAAGCTACATGGAGAGATGGGCCAGCTCAGCAGAGAGGCGCAAACACCAATTCAGTTGAAAACTCTGTGTTCCCCGGGTAGAGGCCAGTTAGGAGCCAGCATGCCTCCCAAGGGTTGTGCAGGGAGACTTCAGCCAGGCACCCACTGGGGCAGACCCAGTCCCACTGCTTCTGCCTTCAGTGGCCACAGGCCTGGGGCCATTGGTGGATAGAGCTGGAGAAAGGCCACCTCTTCGGGACCCAGGTCACAGGATGTCCCCCCAAAGCCATCCCAGTCAGATGTCTGCAGACACCTGCTCCCCTGGCAACAGTGACCCAGACCTGACCTTCAACTCTAACTGTGCACAGCTTCCTAGCCCGGCCCCCAAGCCTGAAGCCTGGTCCCTCCAGACACTGCAGAAAGCTGGGGCTGACTGTAATCCCAGCACTTTGGGAGGCCAAGGTGGGGCGGGTCACGAGGTCAGGAAATAGAGACCATCGTGGCTAACATGGTGAAACCCTGTCTGTACTAAAAATACAAAAAAAATAGCCACGCATGGTGGCACGCACCGGTAACCCCAGCTACTCAGGAGGCTAAGGCAGGAGAATCGCTTGAACCTGGGAGGCGGAGTTGCAGTGAGCCGAGATCATGCCATTGTACTCCAGCCTGGGCAACACAGCAAGACTCAGTCTCCAAAAAAAAAAAAAAAAAAAAAAAAAAAGGCTCTGGCCCTGCCACTTGACCGGGTGGGTCACCTCTCCGTGCCTCAGTTTCTTCTATTTAAAATGCATAGGGGAGGAGCTCTGAGGGCAAAACACCCTGGGTTTGCCTCAGGGCAGGGCAGGACCCTGGACCCAGCAGGCCCCCACTGCATGTCCCTCCTGTCCTCCCTGCCCCACCCCTGCCCTCTGGCTTCTGGGGTTCAAGTCAGGGAGGCCTTGGGAGTAGCCTGCGGCCCTGGGGACAGACAAGGGTGCCCCTGAATGTCCTGTGGATCTGCCCAGGTTGATGCCTTGACTGCTCCTTCCTGTCACCCAGGACCCTCCAGGAGAGACCACCCCGGACTACGCCTGCCCAGGGCTCCCTGCACGTCCCATGTCCCCACAGCGCTCAGGCGCTGAGATGCTCTGCTGTCTGCTGTGGGGGCCTGTGGACGGCCCTCCTCCCCCACCAGGCTGCAGCTCCCAGCGGGCAGGGATCTAGGCATGCCTTGCTCATACCACAAGGCAGAAACACAGTGAAGAAAGACAGAGAACTGGTCTTGTTGTCTTTGGGGGCTCAGCCCCCCAGCTCCAAGCTGGAGGATCAGGAGGCATCTACAAGCCTTTCCGAAGCCCCCCCATAGGCTGCCTTGCAGGGTACAGTATGGCCTAGAGAGCCCCAGAGGGCTCCCCTGGTCATTAAATATCTCAGGATTTCCAGGAACAAGGAGAGGTTCAAGTCCACAGAAGAATCTGATTGGCGTCTCTGGGCCACCCACCGGTGCTAGAATCCCGGCTGGGGTGAGGGATGGTGGTGCAGAGCCTGGCTATGCAAAATGTGGCCTGGAGCAGCCTGGGGGCCCCCGGGAGCTTGTTAGAGATGCTGAATCCAGGCCCCATCCAGACCAGCTGAACTAAAACCTGCATTTTGGCAAGTTCCCAGGTGGTCTGATGACATTGAAGTCTGGGACACACTGCTCTAGACCTTCCCAGGGTCCCTCAAAGGTGGGTGTAGAGGCCCTACTGCCCTGCCCTGGGGACGCAGAGGCATCAGGGCCTTAGTCCTCCTGGGGACAGTGAAAGGGCCACCACCCCAGACCATGGCCAAACTGCAGGGGTCAGGGAGGCATGGCCCAGGACAGCAGCTCAGCAGGGTGCCCAACCCCACCTGCCCCTGCCTGCCCCAACCCACTTGCCGGCTGGGTCCTCTGGACCTCCGCCCCTTTCCACCCCAGGTTGGAGCCAAAGACCACCCTCTCCACTCCCCAGCCCCCCACCCCCCAACCCACCGAGTGCAGGGCCCGTTGACTCCTATCTCAACAACAACAGGAAACCATTTTTCCAGACAGCATTATATAAGGGGAGGATGCGTATGTTCAGCAGATGTTCACTCTGAGGCCGAGCCTCCCCCGCCCTCTGAACAGGAAGGCCACGTCCCCATCCCTCTCCCCCAGGGCCTGGCGCTCCTGGCCCAGGTGGAGCTGGCCTCTGGCTGGCCACTTCTCTGGAAGGGCCTCGTCCAGCTCTGTCCTGTGCAGGGTCATGCCCCTCCACTCTGCTCTCTCTAGCCCATGGGCAGGCGCCGCCTGGCTCAGAGGCACAGCAATGGGCCAGGGTCAGACAGTGGTGAGCAGCATGCCAAGAATCACAGGGACATCCACCTGCCAGCAAAGCCTCAATGACAACAAAGGACCTGAACAGTGGACACTGACAGGGACTCTCCTGCTTGACCAAACTTTAGTCCAGCTCCTGAACCTTCTCCTTCGCCCACTTCCTTGTAAGATCCAGTTTATCAAGAACTCTGCTAAGTCATGAATGCCCCATCTCTCCATATCTGATCACCCTTGATATCTGGTCAGGCTCGTCCTCCCCATCACCCCTCTGGTGATGTCTGGTCACCCCAGCCTGTCTTCAGCTAGAATCATGTTAGGTGAGTTTAGCTAGAATCCCCGACCCCTGATGTTGCTCTTAGTAATTCCCCATCCCCTGGCCCCTACCCTGCTCCTTGGCTATCACCCCCCACTCGCCCGTGCTGTATTCGGAGTTGAGCCCAGTCTCTCTCCCCGACTGCAAGAGCCCACTCTAGCGGTTCCTGTGTCTATCTCCATGGTCCTGAATAAAGTCCGCCTTACCGCGCTTTAACAAGTATCATTGAATCATTTTTCATTTAACAACACTCTGCCTTGCTGAAGGGAAGGTAGAAATGACAGCAGTGGGGAGGAGGGAGAAGGGGCATGGGAACCCTGTGCCGCTAAGGGCATACTCTAGACCCTCTGCCCCAGGCTAATGTTAGAAGCTGCAGAGGTGCAAATATAACAGTCAGACGACCATGGCAGTGGTCAGCTGAAAAATGGCCCCCGAAGACACGTCCGGGTCCCAATCCCTGGAACCCATAAATGTTACCTTCCATGGCAAAAAAGAACTTTGTAGATGCGGTGAGTCCAAGGATCCTGAGATGGAGTGACTGCTGGATTTTCCGGGTGGGCCCAGGGATAGACAGAATGTTTATATTCCCCCCAAATTCCGATGTTGAAAGCTACTCCCCCAAGGTGATATATTAGGAAGTGGGGCCTTTGGGAGGTGATTATGTCACCAGATTCCATCCACACGAATGGGATTTGTGCCCCGATCAGAGGGACCCCAGAGAGCTCCCTCACCCTTTCAGCATGTGAGGATGCAACAAGATGCCTTCTTGAACCAGGGAGCAGACCCTCACCACAACCATATGCACAGCTTCCAGAACCGTGAGAAATAAGCTTCCGATGCTTTTAAGCCGCTCCGTTTATGGTATTTGGCTATAGCAGCCTGCATGGACTAAGACAGGCCCTAAATGCAATCACACTTCTCTTTATCAGAGGAAGGCAGAGCAAGATGAGCCAGGCAGAGGAGAAGGCCACGTACAGGCAGAGCAGAGGGAGATGGAGGATGTCGGCCCTGAAGCCCAGAGCGAAGAGGCCACAAGCCAAGCACTGCTGGCTGCCACGAGGACCTGGAAGAGCCCAGGACGCATCCTCCCCTAGAGGCTCCGGAGGGAGCGCGGCCCTGCCGCCACCTGCGTTTTGCCCTGTTGAAACTGATTTCAGCCTCCAGAACCGTGAGAGGATACAATTCTAATGTTTCAAACCAGCAAGCTTGTAGTAATTTGCAGGCAGCCTCAGAAACCAATACAATGGGGAACTCTGATATGGACTAAAAGTGGTGAGAGAATTATGGTAGAAGAATGGGGCTGGGAGGGGCAGCAGTGTTGTCAGTGAGCTAAACCCTCCTCTTCCAGGGCAGGAAGTCAATGGACAACATCGAAACCCGATACATCAAGAAACAGCAATAGAATAGCATTTCAGGACTTCATGGCAACCCCAGAACCAGCCAGCAGCCTAAAGCCTTACCGGGGCTCCCTCCTCAGGAGTGGCCTGTGAAGAGGGGACGCACACGCATTCACACTCATGCACACACACACACCGAGACAGAGGAGGGCCTGGCCAGAGCAGGGGTGTCAGCAGAGGGGACGCACACGCATTCACACTCATGCACACACTCACACCGAGACAGAGGAGGGCCTGGCCAGAGCAGGGGTGTCAGCAGAGGGGACGCACACGCATTCACACTCATGCACACACACACACCGAGACAGAGGAGGGCCTGGCCAGAGCAGGGGTGTCAGCAGAGGGGACGCACACGCATTCACACTCATGCACACACTCACACCGAGACAGAGGAGGGCCTGGCCAGAGCAGGGGTGTCAGCAGAGGGGACGCACACGCATTCACACTCATGCACACACACACATCGAGACAGAGGAGGGCCTGGCCAGAGCAGGGGTGTCAGCAGAGGGGACGCACAAGCATTCACACTCATGCACACACACACTCACACCGAGACAGAGGAGGGCCTGGCCGGAGCAGGGGTGTCAGCAGAGAGGACGCACACGCATTCACACTCGTGCACACACACACTCACACCGAGACAGAGGAGGGCCTGGCCAGAGCAGGGGTGTCAGCAGAGGGGACGCACAAGCATTCACACTCATGCACACACACACTCACACCGAGACAGAGGAGGGCCTGGCCGGAGCAGGGGTGTCAGCAGAGGGGACGCACACGCATTCACACTCGTGCACACACACACTCACATCGAGACAGAGGAGGGCCTGGCCGGAGCAGGGGTGTCAGCAGAGGGGACGCACACGCATTCACACTCGTGCACACACACACTCACACCGAGACAGAGGAGGGCCTGGCCGGAGCAGGGGTGTCAGCTCCAGGACCAGGAGTTCCCAGGCAGAACCTGATGGTGGGGCGGGGGGGTTCCTCACACACCCCACACCCCTGCCTATGCCCAGACCTCCAGCTTCAGGCTCTGCATCCACACGGAGGCTTCGGATTGGGCGCAGCCTGGGAGCACACAGACCGGCCAGGGCCAGGGCCAGGACTGGCATTTCCCGGGCTCCTGGTCCCATCCTGCCCCTCCCACCGGGTCGGCCCTGTCCTTGTCTTGCTCAGCTCGGGGGAAGCACCTCTCGCCAGCCATCTGGGGCTTGGCTGGGCCTCAGCCTCCTGGCTGCCACGTCTCACTGGGAGCTGGGCGGCCGCCAGCTCTGAGCTAAGTGAGCGCAGAGGAGAGTGCAGGGAGCGGCAAGGCCAGGCTCCTCCCCACCCCGTGGCGTGGCGTGGCGTGGCCGGAATACTCAGTTTTCCCTGCTTTTTGAGACAAGAGTAGTAAATGCACCGTGCTGTACTCAGAGCCCAGGAAGCAGCCCTCCCACCCACAGCGCTCCTGCCTCTGCAGCCCCCCGGGCCGTGTCTCTCTCTCACGGGCCCACATCCTCACTGGACTGTCTCCCTTTTACAGATGAGGTGAGACAGCATGCAGAGGCCCATGTGCTTGTCCCACAGGGTGACGGGCCAGAATTACAAGCCCCTGATTCTGGGGGCTTCCACGCTCTTCCACCAAGCCCTTGTAGCCTTCCTGCACCCAGGTGGGGCTCCTGTCCCCCGCCAGTGCCCCCAACCTCTACTCCAGCAGACCTCCACCTACAGACAGGAGTCTTGGGCACACACTTTTTTGTGCCAGGCCCAACCAAGAGCTGCAAGGGACATAGGAATGTCCCTTAGCATGGCCCGGGAGCCTCAAGCCCAGGGCCTACCTAGAAGTAACTCTCTTTCCTGACATTAAGCGACTCCCCTCCCAGAGCCTAATCACAGCCAGCTACGCCCCCTTCTCCCAGTTATTCAAGCCTGGAAGGAACCTGGAAGTGGTACTGGATTCCTACACCCACCCCCCCCACAATCCCCAAGGCCCCACCCCGGCCTCCTCCTCCCCCTGCCCCTGCATGGAGCAGGCCTCACTCACTCTCTCTCTTCTGTTCCTCCTGGGTCCCTGCCTCAGACCCTCCCACCTAACACAGCCTCTGCCCCACCCCAGAGGGCTCCTCCCAAGACACGCGTCCACGTCGCCATGGACAAGATTAAATACCCTGGCTTCTGGAAAGCACTGAGGCCACAGTTGGCTTCTGGAAAGCACTGAGGCCACAGTTGGCTTCTGGAAAGCACTGAGGCCACAGTGCTTTGGGAAGGTCATGTCGGGATCCCAGGGCTGACTGCACTCCTGCCAGTGAAGTGGGGGTGTCCCCAAAGGGGGTTTGTTTCCCACCATTGGGAGCCAGGATCCCAGGTCAGGAAACAGAGCTTGGGTGGGAGGGAAGCCATCTCTGGGGACTTTCCTCCCATCTCCCTTGTCCCGCTCACGAGGAGAAGCCAGAGCTAGAAGCTGGCATGAGCCCTCCTAGCACCACCAGCCACAGTCTCCACCTCCGGGGACACGAGCTGGGATCTGAGTGGCGCAGGTACTACGTTCTAGAGACGCCGTACCCAGGACCGCCCATGGCACGCAGAGGAAAACTGAAACAACGATCCTTCCAGAGACAAAGCACAGCCCCAGATGGCCACAGGAACTGGCCGCCCCCAGGAGCTGCTGAGCACAAACGCCACTGGAGAGAGGGCTTGGTGGCTGCACCGAAGAGCAGAACAGAGGAACTGAACAGCCACAGCCACCGCAGAACTGGGGGATCTGGACAGAGCTCTCGCTGTGTGCTAAGAAAGGAGCAAGAGACAGAGGGCAGGGAGAAAAGCTGCGAGACGTGGGCAAGTCCCAGAAGAGAGTCGGGGAGGTGAGAGAAGGAATATTTCAAAAAACAAAATTACATGAAAGATTCCAGCATGGATGGGTTCCTAGAGGCCTTATCAATACATATATAAGAAAAAGCTCCATAGCTAGACCCACGATAATGAAACCTAAGAACATCAAAGACAAAGAGAAAGTTCAAAAGCTCCCAGAGGGAAAGAGCAGATCAGATCAGTGTAAACAGGGAGGCAGCAGGCAGACATCCAAGTCCCAGACTGGGGCGTGGGCACCGGGCAGCAGACGGGAGACAAGAGCCCAGGAAGTCCTGCTGGCAAAGAATTCAAAGGCTCTTGCCTGGAGGGAAGAGGCTGCCCCATTCCGAGGCCAGAGCCACCGCAGCAGAGGACAGCTGTGTCCCTCAGAGGGGTCGGCAGGGACAGAGGCCACACCAGAGCAGCAGAGATCTAGCAACCCAGAAGGGTGACACCCTGGGAGATGCTGAGAGCAGCAGGGCCCTCAGGAGCAGGGCTGGGGAGTCGGCCACAGCTCAGGGGGTCATTGCATGTGGGCATCCCAGGCTCCTGCCTAGGCCCCCTAGGGCTCCCCAGCCCCACAGAACACCCTCCCCACTCCCAGGGATGGCATTTGAGACCTTCCTGCTGTGTCCCTCCAGGAACCTGTGAGCTCCAAGAGAACAGAAGGCTGCCTCTTCAACCCCAGTCCAGCAAGGCCCAGGGCAGAGCAGGCACGGAGAACTGCTGTCGAACATGAAGTGGGGACGGGACGCAGTGGTGTACACCTATAATTCCAGCACTTTGGGAGGCCAAGAACCGCTTAAGTCCAGAAGTTCAAGATCAGCCTGGGCAACATAGTGAGACCCCATCTCTACAAAAAATAAATTTAAAAAATTAGCCAGGCATGGTGGTGCACACCTGTACTTTCAGCTACTTTGGAGGCTGAGGCAGGAGGATCCCATGAACCAGGAGGTCAAGGTTGCAGGGAGCTACGATTGCACCACTGCCTTCTAGCCCGGGAGAGAGCAAGACCCTGTCTCAAAAAAAGGAAATATATTTAATTTTTTAAAAAGAATACACAGTGGTGAGAAAGGATGGAAAGAAGAGAGGAAAGGAAGGAAAGGATAGGGAAAGAACAAAAGAAGGAAAGAAAGAAATTCCAGCTAATTCTCAGCAACAGACAATTACAGGAACACAAGGACAAAGCCCAGAGCCCCAACCCCACGTGGCCTGGGTCCCCACAGCCTCCAGCCCTCCTGTCACTCTGCCAGCTGGCAGCAGGGCCACCTCTGAGCATCCTTTTCCTCAGCACTTTGGCGTCTTTCCTCCCAGTGGTTTCTTGGTAGTTCCTCATAAATCCATGCGTAGGTCTGGCTACAGCTATCCTTGTCCCTGAAGATGGACTCAGCTAGCAGAGTCGCTGATATGGTAACACAATATCACACATCTCATCCAAGCCTGCTCGGACGCTGCCCTTCTGACCCCGATTCCTGTCACCAACACAACAGGAAAGGAGCTTGAAGACCCAGGAGGCCACAGCACAGTTCCTCGTGGAGGGAGAGAGATGCGAGCAGGTGGGCGGAGGGTGCACTCATGAGACTTCTATAAGCACGGACCCAGAGGCCATCCCAGCGACACTGTGTGGGGACTCCTGCACCTCTTCCTGCTGCCCAGACCATGGGTGGCCAGCAGCACTGCAGTGTTGGTGTAATCTATGTCCCCCGGATGGCCAGCGGGCACAGAGCATATGTGTGCTGAGGGACACATGCCCCACACAAACGCCCCCACATGTGCATCGCATACATCACCCACACACACACGTGTACATTTCAGCACGCGTCTAGGGGAGGTTAGCGTGCCAGCACCAGCTGAGACTCCCTGGCCAGACTCATCGCCAGCTGGGGAGAGTGGAGCAGACGTACAGGATGGAGGGTAGAGGTGGGGCTGGTCCACAGTGAGGGAGGGAGGCAGGTGTAGACTGGGCCAGGGAAAGGTTCTGGAAACCCAGACTGAAGGTTCCCTGGGGTCCCTGGGGCTCATCCAGGGCTGGGGTGGAGCCGGGACATGAGGAACGGGCAGTGATGAATCTGAAGCCCTGCTGGTCAGCAGAGCCTCCACCTGCACGTCCTCCCCAAAGGTCAGGCAGGCTTCACCCTGGCCACGTCTCTACCCTGGCCATTAGCAAAGAGGCCCCCCTTGGACCAGGAGGAACACAGCAGGCCAGCCCTCCTGCCCTTCCCATCCAAGGCTCCAGCCACTCTCATGGAGACTCTGAGCTGAGACACTCCCAGCAGAAAGGGTCATTTATCTCAGAGCTTAACTAGCCCCTTCCAATTAGTGAGGAATAAAATGGCAGCATTTACTCTGAAGAACTGCGATGCGAGAGTATTAATTAAATGCGCTGCCGCTGAGCCTCAGCACACAGGAGGCTGAGCCCTCATTAAAAAGGCATGAGACTAAAGCAAGACAGGGAGGAGAGGCGGGGCCAGCTAGACAGGGGATGGGGAGAGAAGGAGATGCCGGGCGGGGCGGGGACAGCCAGGGACGGCCACAGCTGCCCTGCCAGGAGGGACAGGGCCCACTGCAAAGTGGGACAGCTGCTTCTAGCCCTCTCACAAGAAGGCTGGTGGGGAAGAAGCCAAGCACACGCAGAGGGTGCTCCCGCACACCCCTCGCCTCCGTCTTTTTGGAATCTTGACAGTTAGAAGACGACAAGGGCCACTGTCCAGTGGCTGGCATTTGTCCCCATGAGACCACAGAGAGGCAGAGGACAGCTCCTTCTCAGACCAGGGCAGGTGGGGCAATGCCAAGGCCCCCTCGGCTCAGGATGGAGCTGAGCCTCCCCAGGATGACTCCCCTGGGGGAAACACTGATGTCGCTGTTTGAGCGTTGAGACGTTGGGGCCTGGCCTCTGAGAGGCGGGGCCCCGAAGGGTCTTCCAGGAAGGTCAGACCCCAGCCCAAAAGCAGCAGGCCTGGGCCACAAAGAGAGCTGGTCCCTGGGCCAGAAAGCCCTCTTCCACCATGCACTCTGGGCAAGGGGCGTGTGTGCCATTAGGAACACAGCTGCACGCTATTTCTCTCCTGTCTTCCTCCAGCTGAAGATTTCACACAGCCCTGTTATGACTGAGGGTTCCCAACAGCTATTCCCTCAACACACAGGCCCCCACACACATGCATGTGCACTCATGCACTCCCACATGCAGCATGCATGCACCCACATACAAATGTCCATACGCATCACATGCACCACGTGTGCACTCACACGCAGGCGTCACACAGGCACCATGCAGACGCATGCACACACACATCACTCATATGTGCATCTCCTGTGACACATGCATCACATACACATGTCCACACATGTGCACTACACACAAGTACACACATGCACCAGAAAAATGCCCCATGCATGTGCATGGCAGACATTACCCACACATACACATGTGCATCGGTCATACATGTGTATCATATGCAGGTATCATATGTACAGGCATGCAGTGCACACATGCATGCATCAAGCACATGCATTATACATGCACACGCCCACACATGTGCACACATGCATGACACTCATGCACTCACACATGCCTCACATTTGCACACATGCATCACTGACGTGCTCACACATCAGCCACACACATGCACTCACTCACACCCTCCTGCTGCTCCCAGCCTCACTGCCTGCTTGCTTACTTTCCCAGTTCCTGCCACTACCTGAGAAGGTGTTTATTTGGCCTTTTGCTTATTGTATGTCTCTACCACCTCATCCTACCCCTCCCAGCCCTCCCCATCCACACTCAACCAGTAGAATAGAAGCCTCTCCCCTCTGTTGAGGCAAAAAGCTGTGACCCTCTTTTCACCCAGAAACCACAGGAAGCATGCGTGCAGACTGGACTCAGCCTTCACCAGCCCCCGCAGTCATTACGCCTGGCTCCCCAGCACCCAAACCCAGGTCCCCACTGGTCAGCACGTTCACACCCAGCCTGCCACATCTCCGGCCTGGCCCACAGAATGCCTGGTCCCAGACTCCTAATGTAGGAAGACTGCCCTGCCTGATCTCAAGGCTTGCTTCTCTGCATTCAGGCCACTCCTGCTGCCCAGCCTGACGGCTCCTGGAGCAGCCGGTGATCAGTCAACCTCCCCAGCCTTCTGTTTGCCTTGCAGAGCCAGCCGACTCCCAGGAGAGCTGTAGAGGCTGGTCAGCAGCCTCACTGTCCCTGCCCTGCCTGGTGAGGGAAGGGAGGCCACGGAGGAAATTCCCTCCCGCTCCATGTCTGCCTCGTGTCCTTCTCTCTCCTGCTGTGCTCCTGGGCAGCAGCTCCCTCCTCCAGCCTTCCAGGTCTCCCAATCCTGGCCCCAGCCACTTCCTTGGGAACCCTAAGCCTGCCTGGAGTCCACCCTCCTCCATTTTTTTGGGTTTTTTTTGAGACGGAGTCTCGCTCTGTCACTCAGGCTGGAGTGCAGTGGCACGATCTTGACTCACTGCGAGCTCCACCTCCTGGGTTCACACCATTTTCCTGCCTCAGCCTCCTGAGTAGCTGAGACTACAGGTGTCCACCACTACGCCTGGCTAATTTTTTTTTTTTTTTTTGTATTTTTAGTAGAGACGAGGTTTCACCATTTTAGCCAGGATGGTCTCAATCTCCTGACCTTGTGATCCGTCCACCTCAGCCTCCCAAAGTGCTGGGATTACAGGCATGAGCCACTGTTCCTGGCCCACCCTTCTCCTTCTGATAGCACAGCCCCTGTGTCACTCAGGAACCAGCTCTCATCCCTGCGTCACCAGTGGGCAAGGAGGGCACATGACCCAGCCTAGGCCAGGTAGAATACGTTGTCATCTGACTACATGAACATAGCTCAGGGATGAGGACTTGCCACAAGGTATTCCATGAAGTTAAATCCAGGAACTATTGCTGGAATTGTTGGAAAGGAAAAGCTGTTTCCCCCGGGTTGTTGCCCTGTGAGGAGGTAATGCAGCAGCTGCCTGCATCCATTTTTCTGCCTCAGAGAAGAGCAGGCCTGAGAGTGAAATCGACACAGAGGAGAGCAAAGCCAAGGGTTGGGGATGTGGGAAAAAAAACAACTGAAAATTTATTTGGGCACCTGGATCCAGCCACACCTGAAGCTAGATAGTTCTAGATATTTTTCTTTTTGCAGATTAACCAATAAGTTTTTTTTTCTTTTTTCTGAAGCCACTTTTACTTGGATTTCCAACACTTGAGGAATAACACCTGACTAATACACTCTCTCTTCTATAGCTTCAAACTCTCCATCTCCCGGATCCTCATCCTCGGTCCCTGAGCAAACTCAAGCCACCTAAAATCCTCTGTGCTCGAGGCAGGGCCACACACACATCTACACAAGCGCACACGTAAACACTGCACTCACATCTAAGACTGCACACCCTCCGCAGCTGATGTCTGCCCCACCGCAGCATGTGTGCCATGCGCACCAGCTTCCCTCCACTCCCTTGCCTCTCACTGGCCCCTCACCTGGTCAGTCTAGCTTCCACCAACTCCCCAGCGACCCTGCAAAGCCCCCTCTTGGCTGCTGGGCCTGATGCCCCCTGCCATCCCAATTCCCTGAACCCCCTCCTCTTGAACCTCTCTCATCCTTTAGCAGGTGGGCAGCCCCGCTCCTAAGACTCCACTGCCTCCTCCACTTGTCTGCACATGGTGGGGGGCCAAGGAGCACTTCCTTCCCCTTCTGCCTCCCTCTTCCTTTGGTGCCCGCCCACCCACCCTAGGATGTGGAATCCACAGCCCTCCATACAGAGCGCTCCCAACCCGAATTCTACCCAGACCTTGCCCCTGCACCTAGGACCTGCATTTCCAGCTGCCAGACTCCTTCCAAGAGACAGCCCCAGTGACAAACCCTCTCTCCAAGCTACCCTTCCTCTCTACCACCCATCTGTGCAAGTCAAAAGCTGGGGAGTGCTTTTCCTCAGCCTCTCCCTCAGCCCCCAGGCCCACAGACCCAAGTGCCTGGAGATCCCGGCCTCTCCATGTTTCCTGAGTAGATTATGCTGCCTCTATTGAAAGATGTTCCGGCAGAACACTGGATGATCCAGAAATATTTCCATTATATGTGGCATGGGCAGAGGCAGATCACAAAGGGAAGGTACAATACGACCCTTTTGTCATTAAGTATGTTTACACATATGTGCATGGACGTGGGAGACACACAAAAATGTTGAAAGCTAATGGCACTGCAGGGATTTCCATTTTCTCCTTTTGGCTTATTTCTGCATTCTGTTTTATATGAAGGCACATACGACAGTTTTTAACTTAAAGACAGGACAAAAAGTTGCCAGCCATCGTGAGTCACCCCAGGACTGCCGGTGCTGGGAATGCCAAAATCTGATGGGACCCAGCGCAGGTGGGGAGAGGAGCAGAGGATGCACCCACGGCCCGTGCCTTCTTTGAATCAGTCCTCACGGGGCCATCTCAAGGTGGAGACTCTGAAAGTGCAGAGAAGTGAAATAACCCGCCCATGGTCACACAGGAGGGAGTGCAGGGTCCAGTTCTCCCTCCCCCACCCAGGTCCGCACTACAGGCTCTGATCCACGCCCTCCCTTGAGGACAAACCCTGAGCCACGCTGGGTCCTCCCGCAGGCCCTGAAATAGAGCTTCATTGCCACATCAGACACCGGGAGACGCGAGGAGGCCGTGAGCCAATTCCAGATGACTTGTCAAGGCTGCGCCAGCCACAGAGTCAGGGAAGCCTCTGGCTGCCTCTGTAATATAAGAACCAGGACTGAAGGCCCCTCTGGGAGGGCACTAGACGAGGGCCTCGGCAGCTCCGCAGGCAGGTGGGGCCCAGGCCAGGCGGGACAGAAACCCAAATGTGGCGATGCAAACTGGACAGAAAGAGGCCTCTCTGGGCTGCGGCTCCCTCACTCGGGGCCTGACGGTACCAGGGGGAGTTAATCTCTCACACACAAGCTGGCGCCAGACCCCTAACTGCAGGTGTCCCTAAGGAGAGGTGCCTGGCAAGTCCTCTCCTGGGAGTGGACGCTCTCCTCCTGAGCACGGTGTGGAAGCAGGGCCGTGCCCAGCATGGGTGCGTGAGGACTGGATCCTGCCTGCAGACAGGACTGGCGGGAGGCAGAACTTGAGCTGCCTAGGACTGAGGCCACTCCAGAGCCAAGACTGACAGTCTCCACAAAACCAAGGAGCCCTCACCTGTCTCATGGCTGGCAGGGGCTGCACAGGAAGTGACAGAGGCCTGGTGCCCTCGAGAGGCAGGCACCGAGCCAGCCAGTGTCAGGGAGCAGGTCTGCACATCTGATGGAAAATCCATCCGTGGTCCCCCTTCTGACAGGCCTTTGGCTGCCTTCCCTTCTAAATAGCTGCGAAGGGAAATGGCCTGGCAGAAGGAAAGACAATGGGGCCCCAGGGGCAGCAGTCCAGGAGGGCCTGGGCCCCCCACCCTCCAGCTGTAGGACTCCCAAGCTAAGGACAGAGAGAATACTTTGGGGAGGAGAAAGAAGCAGACACCAGGCTTCGTGGCAGGTGTCAGCATGGCTGAGGGCAGGCAGAACAGCCGCCAGCTTGATCTGGACACCTGGTCCTGCCACAGGCCACAGCACTTGCCAGGGGCCGTTGGGACCTGTCACTGCCCTGTGGGAGCTCCCTGGAGAGTTCTTAACCTGGGCTCCATAAACTGGGAAAAGAGAACACTTCAACTTCATCTTTACTAACTGGGAACTGAAAGCTGCCATTCCCTTCAACTCTGGAGAGAGGCAGCAACCCCAGACTTAACAGCACCTGCGCCCGTCAGGGCAGAAATCACAGGCTTCGGCAACTGTCAGCACCGCTGCTGCAGACCAGACCAAATGGTGTTTACACTCAGCACAACTTAAATTATAGAGGCTGTAAGATGCACTCCTAGGTCTTATTATTTAATGCATCAATTAAAAGCACACAAAAAAGTTTTACATGAATGTTCCTGGCAGCATTATTCACAAGAGCTAAAGGGTGGAAACAACCCAATCCATCAACCCATGAGTGGATTTAAAAAACTGTGGTACATCCATGCAATGGAATCATATCTTTCCATCCAAAGTAATGAAGCTCTGATGCATGCTGCAACCTAGATGAACCTTGAAAACATTATGCTGAGTGAAAGAAGCCAGACACAAAGGGCAAATATTGTGTGATTCATTTATACTAATGAAATGCCCAGAACAGGCAAATCTATACAGGCAGAAGGTAGGTCAGTGGTTGCCTAGGCCTGGGAGGACGGGGTAATTGGGGGTTACTAAAGGGTCTGGGGTTTCTTTTCAGAGTCTTGAACATGATCTAAAATTGTGGTGATGGTTGCACCATTCTGTGAACATACTAAAGCCATTCATTGAATTTTACGTTATAAGTTGGTAAAATACATAGTATGTGAATTATGTCTCAATAACATTATTATCAAAAATGTGTAAGGTATAATAATGATTAAAAATTTTAAAAGCATGTGTATGTTGATAGCTTTATTTTTCTCTTTTTTTTTTTTTTTGAGACAGAGTCTCACTCTATAGCCCCAACTGGAGTGCAGTGGTGCGATCTCAGCTCACTGCAACCTCCACCTCCAGGGTTCAAACAATTCTCGTGCCTCAGCCTCCTGAATAGTTGGAACTACAGATGCCCGCCACCACGCCCGGCTAGTTCCTTGTATTTTAGTAGAGGCAGGGTTTCACCATGTTGCCCAGGGTGGTCTCAAACTCCTGAGCTCAGGCCATCCTCCTGCCTTGGCCTCCCAAAGTGCTGGGATTATAGGCGTGAGGCACCATGCCTGGCCGATAGCTTTATTTCAATCAGATTTATTTCCTTTGTATTTTGTAGTGTACACTAAACACATTATTTTGATCAGGGGTCCATGGGCCTCACCAGGCTGGCAGGAGGGTTCACGACATGGAACAGCTGTGCTAACTACCAGGACAGAAGACAGGAAGGTTTGCTGGAAGAGGGGTGATGAGAAGTTGGCCAGGCCTATGGGGTTCCCAGCATTCAGGCAAAAGCCCAGAGGTCCTCAGGGACCCCCCCACTGTCTGCTCTGCTAATGCAAAGCCCATGAGGCCCAAGGAGTCTCAGCTTCTTCAGCCACCCGATCACACCCCGACACACACTAGGCCCTGGTTCCTTCAAGTCCTTAGGTCATTTTCAGATTCAACTTCAGCCAAGACAAATGGTCCCCTCCTGCACCTGCCACAGGCACTGTTTCCAACGTGGGCAGAGTTGACAGTTGATGGGTGTGTGTGATCTTTCGGAGCTCCTGTCCCAGGCCCACAGGATGAACGGGAAGGTGGACATGGTGGGTAGAGCAAGCAGGAAATGATGATGGTCAGGAGGGGCCTTGAATGCTGGTTCTGGGGGCCTGTGCTTTACCCTCAAAGTGGAGGAGCCATGGGGAGCATTTCGGGTGGGGCACGGAAGGGAGACCGCGTGCTTATCATGGGCAGCTGGAAGGGAGTGGGAGAAACGGGGGCAGGGAGAAGACAGGGCAGATGTCCTGGAGACAGAAGGCAATGGGGACCCATAGCTCCTCCTGACACATCAGCCTGGCTTTCCTCTGGGGCCCATCCTCTCCCCGACCCACTCCCAGAGGGTCAGAGGACAGACGCCAGCCCTGGAGCCACAGCAGTCCTGTGACGAGGCCTGGCCAGCCGAAGTCCTGCTCCGCTGTCCTGGCCATAGTGATTTGCCTGAAGCATGTGACCCAACCTGAGCCAGTGAGAACTCACCACTGGGCTCTCCCAGAAACCCTCGGGGAACCTGGGCCTCTCTCTGCCGGGCGGCTGGTGCACTGCCCAGGCAGGACCCACGGGGAGGGCGGCTGAGCTGAAACCGTGCGGGAGGCCTGGGCTGCCGCCCTGAGCCCCGCATTCCCCCTTTGGCCCCAGCCGCTTCTGCCCCGGTTTTCTGTCACTTGCAGTCACAGGAGTGTGGACCTGGGGATGGCCTGTGGGAGGGACAGGGGCACAGGCACCAGCTGCACAGGTGTGGATGGGAGGACAGGAGCGAGGCCAGCCGCCTCTGGGCCACACCCTCCGGATTCACTCCCAAAGGAGAACGGCCAGGCGGCCAAGTCCTCCCAGCTGAGGGGTGCGGAGGAAGGGATCAGAGCGCTCCCCCAACAAAGGCTGCCTCTCCGTCCTGCACATCCCCTCGCCACACTGACCTCCATTTCCCTTCTTGGGGCCTGCCCGCCACGAGACTCTTCTCCCATTCCAGACTGGAAATCTTTTCCGCATCTTGACTAATTGTTTTCAGGTGGGAAGGATTTGGTGGAGAAATGGCGTTTGTGTGTGCGTGTGTGTGTGTGTGTGTGTGTGTGTGTGTCCACCCCCAGCCGGGCAGCTGCCCCAGGAATGCTGTATTGGCGGGAAGAGCTAGAGGACCCTTGGCCTCAGCCATGTCCTGAGGGGCTCTCGGTGATGTCAGCGGCTCCTGGCCTCTTCCAGTAAACATCTGTTCTTATTCTGACCCAGGAATTCCATTTCAGAACAGTAACGGCCTCCACTGGCAACACATCCCAGGCCGGTGATGCCTGGGGCAGGGAGAGCATCCTACCCCGGCCTGTGCCCCGCCCCCGGCCCCGCCCCCCACTCCCATGCCCGCCCAAGCCCCGCCCACAGAGCTCTCAAAAGGGACAAAATCTGCACCTGGCTCCGTGTGTCCAAGCGCTTTCACACTGTGGTCCCTCCTAGCAGCGCCATCAGGAAAATATGATCTTGTAGTAACAGGCCCTTCGCTGCTCAGTGCTGGCCCTCGCTTCATTTAATCCTCATCATAACCCACCAGAGTAGTTACCGTCATCAGCTTTTACCTTTCACAGATGAGAAACAGGAGGCTCGCTCGCCCAGGGAGGGAGGGAGCAGAAAACCAAGCCCACGTGTTGGAGCGAGATCGCGTCTGACTCCAGCGCACGGGACCTTGCAGGGGCTGATGGCCAAAAACTGAAGTCATGGGAAGGAGAGGGAGAGGGAGAGGGAGAGAGAGGGGAGGAAGAAATGACCGTTCCAAAGCCCATGCAGCACTCATCTCAAAATAAGAGAAACTCTCAGGTGCCTACACAGGGAGTGAATGCGCGTGAAGCCCGCCAGGGTAATGATAGGGAGCAGCAGAGACTCCCAAGGCACCTGGAACTGTGGGACCCTTCTAGAGGGTTCCATCCTTGCTCAGCTCTAGCCCTCCAGCACATAGGCCCGGCAGATTTCCTGGTTCTCAAGAGAAACTGGAAATCTTGAGCTTTGTGAGAAATTTTCAAACACTGGAAAAGCCAAACAAAACTCATCTGTGGGTGGACATGGCCCGTGGCCCACCAGTGTGCAAACTCCGCCCTGCACAATGGGAACCCTGAAGTGCAGAAAATTATCTCATTGTGAAGGGTAAGGCAGGGACTCAAAACAGGGCTCCTCAGTCCACATTCATAGAGTCTCCAGGTTGTACCACCGAATCTACTCGCCAGCCTTCTCCTGAAAGTGTCTCACTGAACCACATCCCCCGTAGAAACTCAGGGCATCTTTCAAAGACCGCAGTTTTCCTGCCAGCCTGCAAACAACCCTGTGCATGCCCGGTGCACTGCTCCCCAACCACAGGGGACACCTAACAGACCACGAGGGACTGAGAGAGCCTCCTTGACTGAAAGGGAAGGTCAACCGCCGCCACTCATCCCCATAAAACCACAACATGGGCACATCCTGCGTTCGAAGCTCTACTTGATGCAAGAGAGCAGGGAAAGGAAAGCCGTGCCACCGTGGGGAAATGGGCCTGGGAGATCCATTCAGGCCAAGGTTTGTCCACTTTGGGTCTACCACCACCAGCATTCACAGAAGAAGCAGCACCTGGTTCTCAATTCCCTTAGAAGCGGGGCTAGATGCTCTGAAGGCATGGTTGTAGCTCCCACACAAAATTACTAAAGACATAAAACGAAAACATGTTGAAAAAGAAGAGACAATATTATGAACTGCAGAAAGTAACTGCACACGTAGAGAATCCTCACCCCCAAAAACATCCAAAAAAAGGAACCAAATAATAACAAGGAAGTTCATAAAAAGTCTAGATGCAAAATAAATAGAGAAACTCATATATCTGGGAACGCAAACATGGGAAACATCCAAGCGAGAGATTTAGGTTTGTTTTGTTTTGTTTTTTGAGACAGAGTCTCGCTCTGTCGCCCAGGCTGGAGTGCAGTGGTGCAAGCGATCTGAGCTCACTGCAGGCTCCGCCTCCCGGGTTCACGCCATTCTCCTGCCTCAGCCTCCCGAGTAGCTGGGACTACAGGCGCGCACCACCACGCCCGGCTAATTTTTTGTATTTTTAGTAGAGACGGGGTTTCACCGTGTTAGCCAGGATGGTCTCGATTTCCTGACCTCGTGATCCACCCGCCTCGGCCTCCCAAAGTGCTGGGATTGCAGGCGTGAGCCACCGCACCCGGCAAGAGATTTATTTCAGAAGGACTTTTTGTGATTATCTGTGGTTCATATTTGTGCCATTCTAGTAACAGAGAGACTGCTTTGCTAAGACATGGGAAGATGCAGGTCATTGGGAGCAAAGGATCTGAAGCAGGGGCTGTTGCCAGGAAGGGCGCGCCTTGAGGACAGCAATGCTGGGGCTTGGGCTTGCCAGGTCAACCATGGGTATCAAGTGGTTCGTGGCAGCTCTGCACATGCATGTATGATTTGCACTAATGTGTCATTTTTAACTCTGTTTTCTCCCTGGGAATAAAGATGTCTAAATTCTGAGAATATCATTAGTCTGAAAGAAGCAGGTCCCAGGTATTCTGAGTAAATAATCACCTACTGTATTATAAATTAAAAGTGTTCCCAGATAACAATCTGGTGTAAAATATAATGGAAAAGACCCTATTGACAATGGCAATAACATTCTAAGTCTCTTAGTAATAAACCTACTGGGCTATGTTTTTAAACATCTGAATCAATCTTCTTATTTCCGTGAGAAAATTAAACATCATGAAGATGTCGTTCATTTGTTCAGCAAAGATTTGCTGAGGGCCTTCTGCAAAGGGGACACTACTTTAGGCATTTTTTTAAAACCTCACGATGGTGATACTTGCCCTATCAGATGTCAGAACATATTGTCAACCAACAGCAATTAAAGACCCCTGGACTGGTGCAAAAGAAAAACAGAAAAGGCCAGGCACAGTGGCTCATGCCTGCAATCCCAGCACTTTGGGAGGCCAAGGAGGGCGGATCACGAGGTCAGGAGATGGAGACCATCCTGGCTAACACGGTGAAACCCCGTCTCTACTAAAAATACAAAAAATTAGCCGGGTGTGGTGGCGGGCGCCTGTAGTCCCAGCTACTCTTGAGGCTGAAGCAGGAGAATGGCGTGAACCCAGGAGGCAGAGCTTGCAGTGAGCCGAGATAGTGCCACTGCGCTCCAGCCTGGGCAACAGAGTGAGACTCCGTCTCAAAAAAAAAAAAAAAAACAAAACAAAACCCAGAAAGGCCAGAAATAAACCCCATATCCTCCATGAACTTCACAGATGATGGAATATACATTCCAAAGTCAAGAAGAAAGAGTGAATTAGCAAACGAATGGTGTTGAGACAACAGCATGGCAATTTAGAAAAAAATGAACACTTAAAACCAACACCTTATACAGTATAAGAAACACATTTCACTTGAATTAAAGGAGTTATATATTTAAAAATCAAGTCAGGAAAAAAGCAAAACATATAATGGAGTATTTCTTTGAAAGGCTGATACTTTTCTACAGGCTGAGTAACCAGAAGAAAGCAACTAGAGAGGCTGACAGAGCTGACCGAAGAAACAAAACACCAGCCCGGCAGAATAAAAAAGGAAGCTCTGCAAATATAAACCCACCCAAGCTAGCAGAGGGTTAATGACTAGCCCCAGGGAGAACCAATCAGCTTCAGAGGAGGAAAGTTGGGGGCCGTAACCACCAGCCATTAAAGAAACAAGTTTCAGGCCGGGCGTGGTGGCTCACGCCTGTAATCCCAGCACTTTGGGAGGCCGAGGCGGGTGGATCATGAGGTCAGGAGATCGAGACCATCCTGGCTAACAAGGTGAAACCCCGTCTCTACTAAAAATACAAAAAATTAGCCGGGCGCGGTGGCGGGCGCCTGTAGTCCCAGCTACTCGGGAGGCTGAGGCAGGAGAATGGCGTGAACCCGGGAAGCGGAGCTTGCAGTGAGCCGAGATTGCGCCACTGCAGTCCGCAGTCCGGCCTGGGCGACAGAGCGAGACTCCGTCTCAAAAAAAAAAAAAAAAAAAGGAAACAAGTTTCAACAATAACACGATTGCCTGACTCCCACCAAGGGTCCCAGGCCAGCCCAGCCCCAGCGGACTCCTGCAGGCCTTGGGGAGCCAGGTGGGCACCTGCAGGCAGGTTGGGGGAAGGCTGTGAGGACTCTGAGCCCCCAGAGTCTATCAGGACAGGCTGACACCAAGACAGAGACGGCCTACATCTACCCACCCCATACCATGCCCAGTCCTGGACCAGCCATCCCTGGCCCCAAAGGCCACAGCGTAGTCACCACAGCTGAGACTGCCCCAATCAGGGCCACCTGCAATGTCCAGCAGCCTCCCTGCAACTGCCCCGGCTTTGGTTTTTAATGTCCCTAGTCCCGAGAATGCAGAAGCTCTGCAAAGAGAAGAACGCAGCAACTCTGGCAACCTGACTGTGGAGGCAGACACCTGGCACACATTTCCCCTCCCCCAGTGCCCGTGATCTCCACCCAGCGCTGCGCACCCTCCAACCTCCACTCCATTCACTCCCAGACGGAGCAAAGGCTGGCCTCATTGGCCACCTTGCCCAGCACACCACCTGCACAACCTTCCCAGCAGCCCTGCTCATCGGGCCACCCTCCCCAGTGAGGACACAGCCCGTGACAGCCTGGGCACCCCAACAGGAAAGACAGCCCAAAGGCCAAGCCGCCCTATCTGAGGTGGAGGATGCTCTGGCAGGGCAGGGACTCAGCCTTGACCTTGTTTGCTAGAAAATGCACCAAGAACTCAGTAGCAGGCCAAGGAGAGGAGACATGAATTCCCCTTTTCAGCAATTCACCCTGCTTGTACAGGTGGGGAGTTATCTGTACCTCTGAGGAGGTACAGATTTCATCTGGTGCTCCAGCTGCAGTGAAAGGAGCTGGCTCTGGGCTCTGTGGGACCTGGGGTGGGTCATCCCCATCGCTGTGCCCTGATTTCCTCCCAGCACATTGGGATGGCTCGTTGTTGGTTCCCAGAATGTACCAGGAAGGTACAGGTGCAGAGTGCAGCTGACGACGAAGGGCCCCCAGCCAGGAAGGGTCCCCAGGAGTCCTGGCTGATGAAAGACTCTGGGAAAGAAAGGTGGGAACGGGGAGAGGACAGAAGGGGCAGGGAGGGGAGAGGACATAAAGGGAGAATGGAGAGAAAAGGGAAAAAGGGGAGATGAGGGAGAAGAGAAGGGAGGGGAGTGGGAAAAAGAGGAATGAGAAAAGAAGGGGGAAGAGAGAGGAGGGAAGGGGAGGAGAAGCTGGAGGGAGAGGAGGGGGAAGGGAGGGAGAGGAGGGGGAAGGGAGGGAGAGGAGGGGGAAGGGAGGGAGAGGAGGGGGAAGGGAGGGAGAGGAGGGGGAAGGGAGGGAGAGGAGGGGGAAGGGAGGGAGAGGAGGGGGAAGGGAGGGAGAGGAGGGGGAAGGGAGGGAGAGGAGGGGGAAGGGAGGGAGAGGAGGGGGAAGGGAGGGAGAGGAGGGGGAAGGGAGGGAGGGGCTCCCAGCACCAGGACCCAGCACAACCGTCCTATGACAGTTGTCTCTGCAGCTGCATTTAGGGCTGTTCTGGAAACTCAGGCCTTCTCCCTGTCGGCAGGGCTGAGCCCTGGTCTGGGACCTCCCCTTGTTCTATCAGAGCCCCCAGGCTGGGTGAGGTCCACTGGGATCTGTTTTCACTCACAATGCTTCTGACACCAAACATGTGGTTTCCCTCACACCAACCAGTTCTCCAACCTCCAGACGCTAGCTGGGTGCCCCACAGTTGAGTGCAATGCTCATGCCAACTACCTGGGGTCAGCTTAGCCCTCAGGTTAAGGCCTCAGTCCCACACAGCAGCCCCACTTGCGGTGGCAAGTTCCAGCTTTCCACCTGTGCCTCTGACCAGGCGGCTATAAATTGGGCGGGTCCCACAACTCCCTCCTCAGGTTCTGTAATTTGCTATTAGGTTGGTGCAAAAGTAACTGTGACCTTGGAATCAGACAGACATGTGTTCATTAATAGAACAGATCACAGAACTCAGGGAGGCATTTTACTTACTATTTCCAGTTGATTATTAAAGACACAACCCAGGAACAGCTGCATGGGAGGGATGGGCAGGGCAAGGTAACGGGAAGGGCTGCAGAGCCTCCACGCCCTCTCTGGGCACTCACCCTCCCAGAACCTCCACCTGTTCACCAACCCAAAGCTCTCCAAACCTTGTCATTTAGGGGTTTTCATGGAAGTTCCATGACTCCCATCCCCAGAGGTTGGGGAAGTGAGGCTGAATTCTCAACCCAACAATCCAGAAACTCTTATATCAGGAACAAGGGGACTCAGACCAAATCTGATAATAAAAGGTGTTTCTATCACCCTTAACACTCAGGAAATTACAAAGGTTTTAGGAGCTCTGAGGCAGGAACCAGAGATGAAGAACAAACATACATTTATAATTTCCCACTATCACAGGGTCTCAGACAGTACCTCAGTCTGTGACCCAACCTGCATTGCCCCAGAAGCCCAGACCTCAGCTCAGGGCCAGTGTGCTGGGATCAGTGGCCAGTGGCCAGCCATCGTGCAGAGAGGGGAGGGCAGAGGGGAGGGAGGGAGGGGATGGGAGAGGAAGGGAGGGAGGAGTGCAGAGAGGAAGGGAGGGGAAGGAAGGGAAGGAGAGGAGACCAGGAGCCTCCCAGGGCCTGGGCACCTGCCTGGGAGGGCACTGAGGAGCACCAAGGAGGATGCCTACCACTGCCCCCACCTTGCCCTGATCAGGTCTGCAGGATCAGTGCTCAACGCCCATGGAGCTCCAGGTGGCCGCCAAGTGTGGACAGCCCTGCAGCAAAGGCCAGCTACTGCCCTGGGAGCCCTCACCCCCTTATCCTGCCCGCTTGCCTGTGAGGACCCCTCCCTACTGTGTGGCCTTGGGGATAGCCATGCGACGGCGGCTGCCTTCCTTCTGCCGGGGCTCTGAATTTCCAGGTGAGAGACCCGAGAGCAGAGGGCCAGGAGCCGACACCGCTGTGGCAGCTTCCCGCATCCCAAGCCGGGCCATGCCCACTGGCCATCGCTTCCTTCCACCTCAAGCCCCCCATGGAATTCCCTTTGACTGAGGCCAGCCAGCCTCATCCCCCTCTGCTCCCTCACTGACACACACCTTGTGAGGCAGGTGGTGTCTTAACTGGGAAAATGGAGGGTCACAGGCCAGCAAGAGAAGAGCCAGGCCCCAAGTCTGGTCTGTGAGCCCCCACTCCCCACAGCCCTCGCTAGTGAGCACCCGTCATGCTGTACAAAAGACTCTCCTGTGTAGCTTTTGAAAAGTACAGACCCCAGGGCTCACGCAGGTCTGATAAAGCAGAATCTCTCAGGATGGGGCCTATGTACAGATGCTGTGCAAAGCTCCTCAAATCCCATGCCCATCAGTGGGCAGGCAGAGAGATCACACAATGGAAATGCTCTTCTGCAAGACAAGCCACAGATTTGGTTTTTTTCTGTTTTTTTTTTTTTTTTTTTTTTTAGACAGAGTCTCACTCTGCTGCTTGGCTGGAGTGCAGTGGCGCAATTTCAGCTCACTGCAAGCTCCGCCTCCTGGGTTCAAGAGATTCTCCTGCCTCAGCCTCCCAAGTAGCTGGGACTACAGGCGTGTGCCACCATGCCCAGCTAATTTTTGTATTTTTAATGGAGATGGGGTTTCACCATATTGGCCAGGCTGGTCTCAAACACCTGACCTCAAGTGATCTGCCCGCCTCAGCCTCCTCAAGTTACACAGGCGTGAGCCACTGTGCCCCGCCTACAGATTTCTTCTAAGGAGGGAAATGTCTTTGCTTGGAAAAACACCTTCTAGAAGCACATGGGATAACAGATAACAGTGGGACTGGAAGAGCAGGAGACTCTGCAGACAGTGCCACCACCTCAGAGCAGCGGGCAAAGTCCGCTGTTAAGACACAGGAGGAGAATGGAGGGATTGCTCCAGAGAAACTGGACAGAGGGAGGGAGACGCCACTGGGAGGGAAGAAAGAACCCACAGATGAAAGTGGAAATGCCCCCACACATGGCCCAAAGGGCTTTCCAAGAACAGGGTCCTGTTCTTCCAGAAGTCACCCGCGTGGCCGGGAGGTGCTGGCTCCCCCACCTTCTGCAGGAAGGCTGCCCCTCCCTACGAGGGCTTCCCATGGTGCGTAAATGGGGACTGGGTTTCATTCCTGGCCCAGCAAAGTGGACAGCTGAGGCCGAGGCTGAGAACACAAACACCCCGGAATCGCAACACCTCTGGCTTTTGGAGGTGAGAGAAGGGAGCGTTAAGAGTTAAGACACATTTTATCTTGATTTCAGCTCCTTTACTGATAAAAATGGGATCTTAGAAAACGAGAATTCAGAGGATATTGCCTTCACATGAAATCCATCTTAATCCACAGCAAGCGCTGTATTAAGCAGAGAAATACCGGGGGCGTTGCCGTTAAAGCCAGGCACAGATGAGGATGCGTGTAGCCACGGCTGTGACTTAACATCGCTCTGAAGGTTCCAGACGGTGCAGATTGGAGATGAGGATCCAAAATTATCAGTGTTTACAGAGTGCAACTGTATACCTAGAAAACCCAAGGGACTCCACAAAGATATATTAGAATTAATGAGTTCAATCAAGCTGCTTGATAAAAGATAGTTCTATAAAAATCAGTAGCCTTCCTGTGTACCAATAGATGGAAAGTATTCAATGAGCAATGGCAAAAAGAAAAAAAATCCTTGAAATAATCCTGATTTTTAAAAATGGATGACCTGTATAAAAATATGTATATATAATACTTCATGGTACAACATCAAAGCAGAATGAAATAAGCTGAAAAAATATACTATGTTCCTGATGAATACTGTAAATTATGTCAATTCCTCCTTTAATTAGTTTCTAAGTTTAATTTACTATCAATCAAATTCACGAGGGATTTTTCTACCCGACAAAACAATTCTAAAATTCATTTGAAAGAATAAACATATGTGACCAGCCAAGAAAATTTTGTAAGAGAATACCAGCAAAGGGGGACGTATCCAGCCAGATGTTCCAAAGCCACACAGTCCAACAGAAATAGAACTCGAGCTTTATATGTAGCCATGTTTTTAAAAAAAAAAGACACAGGTGAAATTAATTTCAGAAATATATTTTATTTAACCCAGTATGCCCAAAATATTACCATTTCAACCTGTAATCAATACTTTAAAATGATCTATTAAACATTCCACATTCTTTTTGGGGGGTACGAAGTCTCTGAAATCCAATGTATATTTTATACTCAGGGTACCTCTCAATTCAGACCAGACACATTTTAAGTCTTCAATAGCCTTGTGTGGCTTATAGCTACTGTATTGGACAGCAAAGCTTCAAAGTACTTAATACTTTGACTATTAGAGCCTTACAGTTCTAATAATAAACACAGCTTAATATTGGTACAAGAACAGAAAGATGGAAAAGTAGAATGTATCTGCGGTACTGCTTAACCTGAGGTTTCATTTGCAACTGACTGGCGATGGTGTACTATAACCCATAAAATAGACAGATGTAAATACATACCAATATGCTCACAGCTCTCAAGCCCCTTTTCATCATATGTCCAGAAGCTCTGTCCCAATCAGAATGGCCACTAGCAAGCCTTAGACAAGCCTTGCATGAAACGTGAAGACACCCTACTTTCCATGTGCTCCCAATCCCTGCTTTCAAACAGCCGCGTGGGAGGGATGGGCAGGGCAAGGTAACGGGAAGGGCTGCAGAGCCTCCACGCCCTCTCTGGGCACTCACCCTCCCAGCACCTCACCTGTTCACCAACCCAAAGCTCTCCAAACCTTGTCGTTTAGGGGTTTTCAAAGGAAAAATACCCGGGTGTAAAGATGACAGGCTTTAACACTTGGAAATACTTTTAATACATTGAAATTTCAGATTAGGGCTTTCAAAGGAAAAATACCCAGGTTTAAAGATGAATCCCGGACATTCTGCACAGAGCTGGTGAAGGCTGGTCCCCCCAACACGCATCTTTCCATTTCCCAACCCCTGAACTGAGGATGCAATCGGCGGGTCTCAGGCCCCGGCCCTGGCCCCCGCCTCCTGGGCCACGACACTTCCAACGCAGTCCCTCACTGTCAACACCCTGGACACTCAAAATGTCTTTGAAGAGTCACGCTGTGAGGTCAAAAAGTTAGGGTGCACGCAGAAAGGCGCATGTAGCTTTGCATCGGTGAGGCAAATACCTATCCCTGGAGGAAGGACCGCTACTTCGTAATTCACAAGAGGAAGACCCCCGGAGGCGGACGAAGCCAACCGAACTCAGTTCCCGGGAGCCGTGACAAGCGACGGCCAGGCAGCAGAAATGGCCCACCCATTAGGCTGCAGACAGCATCAGAGAAACCAAGCACTGTGGCAGTGGGGCCCGCGCCTCCAGGGAACCACAAGGCACAGAGTTGCAGTTTAAATGGGAGTGTCTCCTCTTTCTTGGTGGCGTATAAAGTAATGGTGTGTCCCGTAACCGATGGCACCTTAGAGCTAATGATATGCAGACACGGCCACCGCTTTCTCACCCCCGGGCCTGGGGTAGGCGCTTGCTGCACACCCACCCTTTCACTGCCACTGAAGTGCGTGCGGACAGAACCCATCTTTTGCTATTGGAGGAACTAAGGTTCTCAGGATCGTGGTGCTTGTCCACCCTGCCGGTCACGAGGAGCACAGCGGACCATGTGACCCGCAACAGCCTCCAGCCCACAATAGGCCCCTGCCTTCCCTGGGTTAACCCGTGAAATGCACAAGGCAGGGTGGGGATGGCGTAGAGCCTGCCTGGCTTCAGCAGCACCCAGGCCTTGGTCCTGGACACTAGGGTTCCCTGTGCCTCTGAGCGGAAGCTGTGCACCCCACTCTGCAGCCCTGGAGTCGTCGTGCAGTGTAATTGAAATTCATGGACAAGCCCGAGGAGCCAGCTCCGGGCTCGGTAATAACTTCTCCATATTAATGGCAGCACCGCAGACCCTGTGGACAGCTGATATTTAATATGAAACATACGCAGCAGAGTGTGCAGCTCCTACCTGGATCCTCCCATTCCGGGGTAACCACCAGTAGGGGATGGGGGTGTCTAACGTGGCGCCAAGATTGAGGGGGCTGGGGTCCTCCTCTCCCCTGAGTACCTCAACCCCACTTAAGGCCCCTCTTCTACAGAGTGCAGGAAACCCCTCCCGAGAAATACATAAACACATGCTGGCCCATGCTCACTCAAATGCACACCCTCCCATGCAGACACACTCATGTGCACACACGTGTACACACTCATTCAGACGTGCACAAACATATGCACCCCCACACGCACACTGCATGCACGTACTCCTACATGCAAGACATGCAGAGGCAACATGTACATGCACACACTCCCGCCATGCACAGGCCCAGGACACGCACACGTCCACATGCAGCCACCAGCCTGCTGTGCCGGCAGCAACACAGGGACCCCCAGGGCTGCCCAAGCCAGAGAGGCAGGTGGGGTAAAGAAGGACATGTCTGCCTGCCAGCACAGACCCAGGGTCCCAGGAGGGCTGCCATGCACACTTGCCTCTTTGGGTCTTCAGATACCACAGTGGGCAGGCCCAGACCATAGCTCAGGCAGCCACGAGGCAAAGCCAGCCTCGCTGCTGAGCGGATGTCCCTGGCTGATTCCCTTACTCACCCAGGTGTGGCCCCTGTGAGCCTCACAGCAGGCCTGGGTGAGGACCTGGCCTTCACCTCCCAGCTGACTCTGCACGAGGGCCTGAATTCACTCACTCACCCAGGTGTGGCCCCTATGAGCCTCACAGCAGGCCTGGGTGAGGACCTGGCCTTCACCTCCCAGCTGACTCTGCAGGAGGGCCTGCATTCACTCAGGCATGACTCGCTAAGCACTGGAGACATGGGGGACAGGGAAGCCACGGCGAGCCATTGGGCAGGAGAAGCCTGCCACACCTGAATGAGCACATGGCCGCGCACATTTACCAGTGCCAGAAACATACCCAGCCACACAATGGAGTGCAGCTCTCTCAGGGAGAGCTGGCCTTGCTGGGCTCCGGCTGAGACCAGTGCTGACTATGCCGGCCTTCATGAGGGGCTGGGAGCCGGCTCCACTCTGCCCCTCCCTAAAGGATTCCAGGAGAGACGCCAGCCCACACAGAGAACCTGCATATGTAACTCCTAGAGCCTCGGTTTCCTACCTGTGAAATGGGGCCACGGTGGCTGGCTCACAGGAAAACCGCAGGGACTGGGTTCAAAGCCCCAGGCAGAGGTAGATGGTGTGGATGCTGCTCCCCGGACCCCCTCCTGAGGCTGGCCGCCGCCTCCAGAGGGACTGCGCTGCACTGCTGGATCCCTCAGGCATCTCTGTAGGGGCCCTCAGCTCACGTAAGGCAGCAGGGGAGGGAGTCATTGCCCCACCCTCCCAGGGGCACCTGAGGGGAACGCTGGAGTTCTGCCTCCTGCAGCCCTTTCTCCCGGAGTCTCATTCCAGACCAGCAGAGCAGGCGACTCAGGCCGGAGCTGGAGGGCCCTGACCAGGTCACGGGGGCCTTGAATGCCAGGCCAGTGGGTTTGGATGTTTTTAAGAGCAGTAAGAACCACTGAGAGGTCTTAAGTGAAGGCGTGACATGAGTTGCTGCATGGTTTCTAAAAATCCCTCTGGCTGCAGAGTGGAGAAGGGTTGTCGGGGAGAGACCATGGGGCAGTGGGGGGTACAAGAGCAGAAAGCAGGGGTTGGCACCAGGCGTGGAGGGAAGCCGGGCCCTGAGAGAGCTCTAGAATTGGAGCTGGCTAGGGGAGGGCGATCCTGGAAGGGTGGGGTCTGGAGGAGAGTGGGGAGAGCCACGTGACTTGAGTATGGGGTCATCCAGGGAAGGGGGTTCCAGAGGCAGCCGAGCAGGCAAGCCTGGAGCCCAGGAGGACTTCTAAGCCCAACATGGGGTCTGGAGTCCAGGAGAAGGGTGGCCACAACCGTGTTCACCACCCTGCACAATTCTCCTCCCTTCTTGTATGATAGGCCCCTCTTCATTCCAGAGTTTGGGAGTCTGTCCCTCCCCCTCAGTCCCAAAGGTGGGCAGGAGACCTGGGCTAGGCCCGCATCACAGCCATGGGTTTGAAGATGGGCCTCCAATCCCTCCCCCAACTCTCACAGGTGTCACCCAGAGAGGAGGGCTTTCCATCTCAAAGGTTGCCTCCTTGGAAAACGAGTTGGGCCTGGAGCCGCTGGTGGGCCGGGGGTTGAGGGGTGGAGAGCAATTCTGAAATGAACACTGAGAGGCAGGGCTGAGAAATGGATAGCATGCTCTGAGCCCCTGGATTCAGCCAGGCCTGAAGCCAACACTCCTCAGGACCCCCAGATAATTGGGGCCATGCTGTCCCTTGTTTGTTTCATCCAATATGAGCAGGGGTTTCTGTCACTTAAACTGAGCAAGTCTTAAGGTGACAAGTATGGCGGAGGCTGAGACTGGCCTTAGCAGCTGTGTAGGCTGCTTGCAGCTGGGGCCCACAGGAGCCTCTGCTCCTACCTGGGGAGCCCCGACACCCTAGGGAACCCAGAGGTTCCTGCAGCCCCTCTTTAGTCTTCCTGACAACCTCTCATTGCGATCCAGGCAGTGCCAAGGTGGGGTGGGAGGAAGGAAGACCCTACCAGCGGCAGCTGCAAATCTCAGGTGCCCCTCACCCCACTGCACAGTCCCAGGACCCGCTCACACCTGCCTGATCTGCTCTAGCACCTGAGCCTGCTGGAGCCCAGTGTGTGGCCTCGAAGGCAGCAGCCTTGCTGGGAAAAATGAAACTCATCTCAATCCCTTAGGCCGGCTTCTGACTTCTCTCTGTGGCCTTTATGACTCTTAATGTCCAGCAAGACAGAGTGGGTGCCTGGCCCAGACAGCAGCCCCGCAGGGGAGCCCCAGCCTGAAAGGCAGCAGCCCTGGATTTCTTCTTGCCATGCAACCTTGGGTCTCTCTGAGCCTCAGCCACGCAGTGGGGCAGCCCTATCTCACAGGGTTGTGGGGTTCGCATCAAGCATCCAGGGAAGGGCATACACTTCCTCCTTTGGGCCCCAGGATTGGACCAGGCCTTGGAGGGCGGACCATCTCCACCGCCCAGCCCATGGAGGCTTCATCCACTGCTGCCCAGCCTGGCAGGAGAGGATCCCCGTGCTGCCCTGAGTGGGGAGGCAGAGGCGGGCAGGGTTGCTTCCATCCCACGGAAGTCCCAGCTGCAGTCCCCCACCAGTGAGGACTTAGGCCACCCATAGGAGCTGCAGCCCAGCGCAGGTCACGAGCCAGTCAAGGCCACTCAGCTCCCAGGCCTGCTCCCGGCTCCACTCACACTGACGATGGTCAAACCCACAATGAGAACGTCTCCAGGAGTCAAATAAGAAAGGTGGGAAATGTTGTAAAGAAATGCATTTTTAAAATTCTTTTTGTAGGCATGCAGGAAAAGGCAACAAAACATAGTGAGCATGGCCTTGGAATCAGATTTGTGTTCAAATACTGGCTTCGAAGCTTGAAGCAAGCTATCTCGACTTTTGGAGCCTCAGTTTATTCATCTGTAGAAGGGGGATGATGTCGGGATATGTTCCGTAGGGTGCTGTGAGGATTAAACAAGGCGAGGTGGCACAGGGGGCTCAGCTGAGAGCCTGGCACACAATGTTAATAGGAACACAGTCAACTGTCACTTACCATCATTACCTTTTACGCCAAAAGGCTTCTCACTGGGTTTTTAATGGGCATGTAAAAACCACGTGAAATTAGCACGCCTACCACGCTGCCCAGGAGATACTGGAAAACTCTTCCGCAGCAACGTGAGGCACAACACCACTCTGTGCAGCCTGTTTTGCTCATGCCTTGTGCAAAGGGACATTTTGCTGTGGATACTATGAATAACCCCTCGCTGTGGATATTATTATGAATAACTTCCGTCTAGTCACTCAACCTCCCAGAGCCTGAGTGCTCCACCTGTAACCAGGGATGAGATGCCTCCCCGACCAGGGCTCTGTGAGGACAAGAGGTGCCCTGTGTAAAGACCCAGGTCCTTAGCAAAGAAGCCTATCGTGGTGGCAGCAGAGGGGGATTTAACAGTAGGACAGACACATACGCAGCAACAAAGTCAGAAAAGGAAAGAAGAGGCCGGGCGCGGTGGCTGAGGCCTGTAATCCCAGCACTTTAGGAGGCCAAGATGGGCAGATCGCTTGAGGTCGGGAGTTTGAGACCAGCCTGATCAAAAGGAAAGAAAGAAAGAAAAAAAGGAAGGAAGGAAGGAAGGAAAGAGAAGAGAAGAGAAAGAGGACAAGCGAAAAGAAAAGAGGCTGGGCGCAGTGGCTCATGCCTGTAATCCCAGCACTTTAGGAGGCCGAGGCAGGCAGATCACAAGGTCAGGAGATTGAGACCACCCTGGCTAACACGGTGAAACACCGTCTCTACTAAAAATTAAAAAAAAAATAAAAAAAAATTAGCTGCACGTGGTGGCAGGCGCCTGTAGTCCCTGCTACTTGGGAGGCTGAGGCAGGAGAATGGCGTGAACCCGGAAGGCAGAGCGCTTGCAGTGAGCTGAGATCGCGCCACTGCACTCCAGCCTGGGTAATAGAGTGAGACTCCGTCTCAAAAAAAAAAAAAAAAAAGAAAACAGAACCAATGGTGCTGTCCCACTGTCCAAGGCCATTATTCAGTGACAGCATTCAATGCCGCTCAGGCAGGTCCCAGCTCCTCTTCCAACCCCAATATTCTTCCCAGCTCTGTCTGGTACATGGGACACTTCAGCAGGCCTGTCCTGCCCAGGCCAATCCACACCTGGTACCTCTGCACACGCTCCTCCCTCTGCCCGGGTTGCCAACCTGCGTCTTTTCCAGCTGGCCACTCATTCTTCCAGCCCCCATTCAAACAGCCCCCCAGGAGCACACTCTCCAAGTCCTGGCCAGAGTGTCCGTCAGCCACCCTGACGACAGGAGCCCTGGGTGGGTACCAGACCTGCCTCATTGCTGACCAGTACAGGGGATAAACATATGAGAAGGTGCTGGCTGAAAAATGAATCACCAAATGAACTGCTGAATGAATGAAACAGTGACAAGTCCTCCCCAAAATGCTCTCCATCAGGAATGCATAGTACACAGGTGTTGGCCCACCAACAGACTGCAACCCCATGTCAACTCCCACCACCTTACCTCACCCTAAGTCCGCAGCAAACATCTCCTTTCATTTAGGAAATTAACCTCCAGCGTAAAATGGGACACACCTCTGAGGCCCAGGATGTCCTCAGAGACAGTGGGCGATGTCAAGGGCTCACCATTTTAACCCAGCTCCTCCAGGGATATTTACAGTTGTTTGCAATATGGCCAAGTTCTAACTAAATCCAGCCAAAGGCAGTGATTTTCCAAAGCAACAAGTGATATTTTCTGTGTCTCCATAAAAAGAATGACAGTGGTTGCAGAGCCCTGGTGTAATTGCCGGCTCTGCAGACTGTAGGATGAGCCTCAGCTGCCCGAGTACGGGCGTGCTCAGGGGCCACGGGGGCTGGGAGAGTGGCCACTCACTCGGGGCAGGAGTTCCCTGAGTAGCAATTAGAGCGGAACCCATGGTGGGCGGCTTCAGATGTCTGGCCAGCACAGCCAGCCTGACCACCACACACCCAATCCAAAATAGAAAACTGCAGTGGCCTCTGCTGTGTGCCAGGCCCCGGGCAGCCGGACAGAGCACCGCCAATGTCAGCCTCCTCCCTCAGCATCGATCCAGGCTTCCTCTGAGGCCCCCTTGTGCTGAGCCACGGTCCCTCCTGCCCTCTCCAGGAAGCAGAGCTTCCCAGAGCTCCAGTCACAGGACTAGAGAGGCGCAGGCAGTCTCAAAAGGGATCCCCTAGCCTCTCTCTTGTCCTTCAGGCGCTGCCCCCAAAAGATCGAGCAGCTCATGGGCACTAGAGCCTTCATTTCCAAATGCACCCCTCAGCTCAAAATAGAGAAAACCAACTTTTCAAAGAACCAGCTGGAGTTCAACAGGAAACCACAGCAGAAAAACCAATGATTCCCGGTCAGCCAAGGGGCAGAGGGCTAACTGGGCATTTCAGCATCACTGCCAGCTCCCTGGGCTGGTATTACCCGCACGCAAGGAAACAGGAAGACTGACTGCCAGCCCATAAGTCCACCACACACATATCACGCCAGTATGCACAAGGACGGACACAAACTCAACAGATGCTCAACACACTGATGTGCAGAAACCCAGACACATACGTGCACAAGAGACACTGGCACACGCACATGTTCACACAGGTGCACGGGCACCCAGATGCAGGTACACACCAACGTTCCACAACACATGTGCACACACTCACAAAGGTACACACACATACACGGACCCACCCCCGGATGCAAGCCAGAGACCTGTTCAGGCAGGCAAAAGAGAGAGGCGCACGCTCCTGCCTGCTGAGCCTTTTGGAGACCCGGGCGCTCCCCATGCATAAATGGCCCCCTGCTCAGACCAGTCAAAACAACCTGCTTTCCAGCCAAGCCCTTCAGTTGGAGCACGAGGCTCACTAAAGCACGGGAAGGGCGCGGAAAGTCCTCAGCGCAGGCCTTGCCCTCCCAAGGGACTCCCAGGTAACCCTTTTCCAAAACCCAGGCGAGAGCAGCGGAGAGAAAGGAGCTAGAGAAGTGCGTACTCACCAGCCCATCGCAGTTGCTGAGCGCCACAGAGGAGGCTTCGGCTAGGCCGGCCACGTCTCCGACGTAGAGACAGCTCCCGAGCAGGGGCTCCACGCGGGTGGTGCCCTTCTCGCCCTGCCACTCCATAGTGGCCCCGGGCGCCACGAGGCGGGCGTTGGGCCGCAGCCGCAGGTGCAGGTCTCGGCCAAAGACCGTGACATTGTAGAAGAGGTGACTGCCAGGCTCCTCCTCGTTGCCTCCGGGGAAGCTCGGGGTCCGGACCGGGGCGGCCCTGCGGGCTCGTACCCCTGCTCTGGACGTAGCTGCCGACACCACGTGGGACACCAAGCGGCCCTGGGCGTCAGTGCGCACGGGCACCGCCAGGATGCGCTCCGCTCCGTGCCCCAGGGGCCCGCCTGCAACGGGAAGGGGCGTTAGATCGGCGGAGACCACGGAGCCCCAGTGCCTCAGAGACCCGCCGGCAAGCCACGCCCCCCCAGACCCCGCCCCACTGCGAAGGGAAGGGGCATTCCGCCAGGCGACCCCAGAAGCCAGCCTGCACCTCCCCGGCTTTCCTGCAACCGGGAAGGGGCGTTAACAGGGCCACCACTCCGGGGCTCCGCCACTCCCCAGCCGTTCCCTCCTCCGGAGACCTTGCCTGCCAAGAGCTCTGCCCCCTGCCCCGTTCAGGGTTGGGGCTCGGTGGGAACCTCCCCGTGCCCGAAGGGACGACCCCGTCAGAGAGTCCCCCGACCCTTGCACCTACCGTCCTTGGCAGGACGTGGAGCTGCTCGGAAGCCATTCCGGGTTGGCCCCCTTACCCGTGTGCCACGACCCCTCGGCGGGCCCCTGCCGCCCGAGTGCCCTCACCGCCAGCCTCCGGAGCGGCGGAGTCTCGGCTTCCCCGAGCACGAGCGGCCTGTCCTGCCTGTCCAGCTCCCGCTCAGCCCGCTGCCGGCCCCGTCTCCCCGAGCGCCCGAGGACTGGGAGGGGTGGAACAGGGTCCCTCCGATCTCCGGGGATTCCCTGCGGGGCGCCCCAACCAATCCTTAGGGCCCAAGGCTACGCGCTCGGCAGCCGGCTCCTCCGGAGCGTCCCCGGACGCGAGCCCCGGCGCCGCCTCGCCCTGGCTCCCCCCTCGGACCCGCTGGGGCTGACTCTGCGCTCTTGGCCGCGGGGCTTTTCCCGGCCCTCCGTCCCCACCCTCCGCGACTCAGGAGCCGCCAGTGCTCCGAGGCTCCCCCGGCCCAAGGCGCTCGGGGGCGGTGCGGGGCGCCCCCTGCGCGACCAACCCGGCCCCGAAGTTGGCCAACTTGGCCCCGGGCGGGGCGCGCGGAGTTTGCCCAAGTCAGGCTGGACGACGCCTGGGGAGGGGGCGGCGGGGCACGCGGGACAGGGCCAGGCCGGCGGGGGTCCCGGGGAGTAGGGGCCGGGCCGCACCTACCTGGGGGGTCGGCGGCGGCGGCGAGCCTGGCGTTCGCGGGCGGCGGCGGCGGCGGCAGGAGCGGCGGCGGCAGCAGCAGCAGCAGCAGCAGCAGCGCGGGGCAGAGCAGGCGGCGAGCGGCTCCCGCCGGCGGATCCATGGCAGCCGGACTGCAGCCGGGGCCCCGCACTCGCAGCCGGCGCGAAAGTTCCCCGCGAGCCGCCCAGCCCACATCTGGGGGCAGCTGGAGCCGCCCGCAGCTGCAGCACCGCAGGGCGCGGGGCGGAGGAGGCGAGGCGCGGAGGGGCGGGCGGGGGAGCGCGGAGGGAAGGCGGGGAGAGGGAAGGAGCGAGCGAGCGAGGGAGGCAGGCGGGAGGGAGGGAGGCGAGCGAGGGGGAGGGCGGGGACGGCGGGCGCCTCAGCCTGCGGTGACCCGGCGCATCTTGGCGCGGCCGCCGCCGCCGCCCGCTTCCCTCTTCGCGCCGCCGTCGCCGCGGTGCCGGGCTCGCAGCGAAGCAGAGACACCCCGAGGCGGCGGCAGAGAAGCGCCGCGGGCCGGGCCGGGGGAGCCCCGCCGCCAGCCACCCCAGGGGCACAACCTCCGAGGAGCGGCGCCGGCCGAACGTCCCCACCTAGAGAGCCCTTGGGGTGCCGGGTCCCACCCATCAGCCCTGGAATTCAAGGGGTGCATCCCCCTGTCTCTGTGCTCTGGGGCAGGACAGGGTGAGGGAATGAAAGGGGAGGGGGGACTGACTACTGGGTCCAAGGTCTGAGCCAGGCCGAATGCCCAAATAGAGGCCGCAAAGGCCAGAAGATGCTGTTAGGAGGGTACACCCAGGGCGCGACCCCAAAGATCAACTTTTGCCCTTACTGAGAGAGGCAAGGCTCCTTCAGTCCCCAGTTCCTCTTCCTCTGAAGTCCCTGTCCCCTGTCCCCCATCTGCCTTCCCATCCCTCCGCTGCAGCCTCAGCACAGCCTCTTCCTGCCAGACCTGGGCTCTCTGCCCATGAGCACAGTCAGGCTCCTGCCCTCACCTGTCCTCAACCCCACGTATGCATTCTGTCCTCCCGCCATTGCACTCCCGGCCCCCAACCTGAAATGGCCTCTCCAAGCTCTGCCTACCTTTTCCACCCAAGCATCCAAGGACACCTGGGCCCATTCTGGGGCCAGTTTGCTGTTAGAGCCCGTTGCCAACCGGAACCCCTCCCCAGTCCCTCCTCTCCAGCAAGGCCCTGATCCTCCCATGCTGTCTGAGCTCAGCGGCCTCTCTCCAGGGCCTGCCTGAGAGCCCCCTCTCAGGCTGTTGATCATCTCTGCCCTGGGACCCCCAATTTCTGCCTCACTTCCCCAGAGGGTGAACACCCACCCCTTTGATTTTCTCATTTGCCCTGCCCCAGGTCTGTGTGGCCAGGGCTTTGGTCTTTGCTTTGGCCAGGGGCAGAGGACCCGGAGATGACTCAGGCCTCTCCCTGCTGGCCAGGAGGTCCCAGTCGTTGGGGGAAACACGACTTACACAGCAGGCTCTAACTGTGATCTCACGTCCTTGGTTCTTTCGATTGTGGGTCCTGGGTGTGAGAGCATCGCAGCTGGACAGCCATCTTCACCTGCAAGCTGTACTCTTTCTGTGTCACCTAAGGGTGCCCGAGGCTGGATCCAGCTCCCAGGCATGGTGAGATGTCACATGGAAATTTAGATTGGTAACTTTTCTTGAGATATTGGAAGATGTGGCCACGCTAGCCCCACAGTCCTGCTTAGCAACCATTAAATGGGCACTTACCTTGCAGTTTGTGGCAGGTCCCGCCTCTCCTCACTCTCTGTAGGCATCTGCTCTCGTGACCTGTGATGACCCAACTGGTTCCAGAGAAAGTTGGAACTGGAATCCTAGTATACCACAGAGATGACTCCAGAGCTGGGCATCCAGGAGGACTTCCTGTAAGAGGTGGCATGAGTTGAATTGTGAAGGCTGGGGGAGCTAGGCAGCCCAGAGTTGGGTCCAGCCAGTTGCTGTCCTGGAACCCATGACGCATTCCTCCTGTGGTTGTCAGCGCTTCCATCCTCTTCGAAACACGAGTGAAACCCAACCAGCAGCCGCCCCTACTTCAAGGGGCATGTTCTGCACCTTCCTGCCGTGTCTATGGTTGGGTATTTCTTTACACAGCGCCTAAAACTTTTTTCAATTTTTTAAAGGATACTTTAAATCACTACTATAAATGGAAAAGCCAGCATCTCACCATGTTTCCATAAATCAAAGATAATTGCTAAAAATAAATACAACAAGAAGAGAAATGTTATCAAATTCCAGATACTTTGACCTGCTAAAGATACCGAAGGCTGAAGCTGATTAGTAAGTGTTACAAAAGCCTTAAGATGGACTAGCACAGAGGTCGTTGTTCTGATGTGATTGGAAGGATGAAAGGAGGCCTGAAAAGGAGTAACTCTGACTTTATGAGTTGATGGCATCTTCTAACAGGTTCACAGAGCTAAATTATTTTGTATACTTTGGGATACTTGCTTTGGGATATTTTTGGGGGAAAGAATTTGTCTCCTGGACACTGAATAACCCCAGGCAGCTGATTCTTCCCACATCACCCGTGCCCCTGCCACCAGGGATGAGTTGGGGATGGAGCAGCACCCTTGCCTGGCCCTTCCTTTAGTGCCCCCACTGTCACCCACCAGGGTGGTGGATGAACAAGGCTCACATGCACCTAACTTCACAGTTAAACCCTCAGGGAGGTGGAGGAGACTTGCAGACACATCCCAGCCCGTGATCATTTGTCCTCCACTCAGAAACAAACAGAAAAACAAAAAACAACCAAAGAACAACAACAAAAATCTTGCTACTTCTTCAAACCTCCATGATTCAAATCTTGCCTCTCCCCCCTTACTGGTGTTTGCCTCTTTCTCTGGTCCCCCTTTTCCTCTTCCAGGTAAAATACGGGACATAGAAGTCCCCAGTGGCTCTCTGCTCCTCTGCATGTTCAGTCTAGGTCCCAACGACAAAAACTAAGGGCCACTGGGCCAACGCCGCCGGATGTGTTGTTGAGCACATGCCACGTGCGTTCGTTTCTACTGGAGCCTGAATGTCTTCAGGTCTGGCTGTGCTCTCCAGCTTACCGCAGTCCTCACCACCCCCTGTTGCCCTACACCTGCCTATTGCTCGTGATTGTCAGCACCATGATCCCTGAAAACCTGGAGTTGTCACCCTCACCGAGAAGCCCAGTGTTTGTAGGGAGGAGTGAGGACAAGTCAGCGTCAGCTCGGGCCTTACACACCCAACCCCCTTAAAATCTTCCCAAAGTTGTGTGGTGCAGAAAGAGGTGAGGACCTTTCCGGGTCATCTTGGGTGCCACGAGTCACCCCACATCCCTGGCAGAAGAAACACTAAGGAGGAGGAATGTTTGTTGCCCACCACAGCTCTCAGTGGGTGGGTGCCCTGCCTTGCCCTGAGAGGAGGGTCGGGCTCCCTGGTCTGGCTCAGGCTTCCAGGTCACATTTGTCAGCACAGACTTCATTAAAGACAGGAGCCCATTTGAGAGCCACTGCTGTCTCCTAATGTCTGCACAGAAACCAGCCCCTGAGAAGGTCTCCTGCCCTTTGACAAAGTCACCTTTCTTGGCACAACCTGCCAAGCAGATGGAGGCAGTGAGGTTTCAGTGCCCTCCCTAATGACAAACAAGCTCTTAGGGGCTGTGGGAAAGGAGCTGGACTCTTTTAGTCTCACTGGTGCCTGTGTGCAGAGCGGGCCAAGCATGAGGGGCTAGTTACCTTGTCGAGGGGCCTTGAGGACAGCAGCTCTGTCCAACTTTGCTGTTGGCAAACAGCGGGTGCAGTGGTCCCATCAGATGCTCTGGCGGAGTTCTGGCCGGGAGTGGCCCTGGTGAGCCATATGTCAAGGGAATGCTGATTGAACAGAATGTGGAGGCTGGGTGGCCTCTAGGAAGTGTGGTTCTTGCTGTTTCTTGAGCGTGCCCCTCCCCGACGCCATGTACACACTTTAATAGGGAGCCGTGTCCAGCAAAAGAGGAAACGTGGGTGGTGTTTCAGTAGCAATTGTTTTTACTGCCATTGCAGCACGGAGGCATCCCCTCGCCACTGAGATCGATTCTGCCTGGAAGTGGAAGACAAAGTGCTTGAGGTTTGGAGGCTTGGGGATCAGGGCTCAGTTAACATTTCTACATGGAGATGCAAGATGGAGACTCAGACTCAGTCTAAGCATTAATGGCCCAGGGAAGGATGTAGCTTAATGCCTATCTGTGATTGTCCACTTACACATATGCTCAGCCTAGCAGAGAGAACAGAGAAAAATTTTAAAGGGGCTATCTGGGTGTGTCAGGCAGTGACGCCACTTGAGCTGGGGTCTAAATCTCTGGGTTCACCTGTGTCTGGCCCCTGTCTGGGGTCGGGGGCCATTTTGTCCAGCCCCCTCATCTGGGAAAGGCCTTTGGGTCCCTCAGGATGCTCCTGGCTGCAAGTAAGACAGCCAGCTTAAACCATGAGGAAATGCATCAGCTCACGCACCCGGAAGTCTACAGGTGTGGTGGCCACGGAGCTTAACCGCAGCACCAAGGGCCCTGCTGCCTGCCTAGCATCTTTGCCCCAACCAGGTAGAAGGATGGCCAAAGCACAGGTGCACTGCCCTCTCCCAGAAGGACCGCTGTCTCCCCTGTGGTCTGTGGGCCAAGGCTGGGTCATTTGCTGAACCAGTTGCTGACAGGCGGTGGGTGAAGGGATGACTGGGACAAACCTGGATTAACCATCGCGTCTACCCCAGTGCCCCCAGCATTGCCTTCTGTCTTTATTTCCAAATCAGAGTATTGCATAGTCCCAGGCATCCTCCTGCCTGGCAAAAGAAGTTTTTCCCATGTGACGCTATATTTGTGTCCCACTCCTATACTACACCATCTGTACAGCATGCAGAATTCCTTTCTTTTTATGTAAATCCTGTAGGTAACTAGTGAAGGGCCCAGTTCTATTACATTATGGAGATCTGTGTTCAAAGCCTTTTCTAAGCCTGTCTGGACGCTTCCTTACTTCCTAGATTTTGAGGAAAGCCATCGGTGACCCCAGCCCAGGCCTTGCTAGATCCCCAGGATCCCTGGCCTCTGGGGCTTCATTACCTTTAGGTCACCCTCTGTGGCAATGTCCTTCCATCCAGTCCAGCCTGACCCTTCCCAGTTCACGGGATCAAGGATGTGGGCCTTAAAGACACCGAAGCTTCTGGCTGGGACTTCAGGGCTACAGTGCCCATGATGAAGCCCTAAGACGAAGACCGTGGTGGGAGGAAAACTCTGGGTGCATGGCTGGGGGGCTCCGGCCATCTCTACAGCCTTGGGGACCCCACTTCCCACTTCTCCTCCAGAAGGGAGAAGGGTCCCTCCTCTCGCTGGTAGGAGCGACCTTCTTAGCTGCTCCTGCCAACAGTTCCAGGGGTCCTTCTTCCTCTGCAGAAACACCGAGACTGGACACAAATCCCAGGACACTGAAAGTGGGGGTCCTGGAGGAACTGGTACCTTTGCTCCCTGCAAAATGGTGTCCCCTTCCTCTGAGGGTTCCAAGAAAAAAAAAGAAAGAAACAAAGAAAAGATATGTTTGTATCCTTTTGGTAATTTTTTTAAAGTTTGTTGGGTTTTTGAAAATGAACTAAATCATCCCTGTGCCCAGTGTTTCTGCAGCTCTCTACAGGTCTGGCTCTGGGCCACCCCTCAGGAGGAGAAGCCTTTTCTCTTCATACTGACCCAAGGCCAGTCCTTAGGGCTGGTCCCTGAGCCCTCCGCTTCCTGGGCAATCTCATCCTTTCCCACAGGCTCGTGAGAGCCGGTGTGCTGATGACTGCCCACCCGCTGGGTTCATTCTACCGTAAATGCAGCTCCCTCAGCCACCTGCATCAAGATATCTCAGAGCCTTACCAACTCACCCACCCAGAACTGCCCCATCTCCAGCCTGGCCCCAGCCTCGGCCCAGTCCCCTTGGGCTCAGCATCCGGCGTCTCCATTCTCCCTGCAGGCTCCCTGCAGCCAGGGACCCAGGGGCATCTCGGTCCCCTCCATTCCTTTACCCCCACATGAAAGCACTCTCCAGTCTGCACCCCCTCCCTACCACCCCCTCTACCCCAGCCTCGATACCCCTCCCTGACATGACGGAGCACCCACAGGACCAGCCCCGTTGGGCACTAGATGCCTGAAATTGAGCCCGTGGGCTCAAGTGACTTCCTCTCCTGCTAGTCAGAAGGGGGCGGCTCCAGGACGGCACCCCACACACAATGACCTGCACACAGCACGCATCTTCTTATGCTTGCCTCTGTCTCCTCATTGGAGGGGGCTTGCACACCTCCCTCCCAGTCTGGAGCAAAGCTTGAGCATGACTTATATTTGTTTTCAGCAGAGGGTAGACGTGAGCAGCCCCTGAAACAGGTTGGTGGCTGAAAGTGCCAATGTTCTTTGGAATAATGAGGCCCATCTCCTAGCTGGAGGGCTCCTGCCCCACCCTGTGGGCATAGCTGTCCTGGGTAGCAGGGAGCCTGGTTTCCTGGGGTTGCTGAGAGGGGAACTCCACCAGGGCTCATTGGCTTAGATTATTTCAACTCCCCTTTCCAGCCGTGTGCCCTTGGGAAAGTTAACCTCTCGTGCCTCAGTTTCTTAAAGTCTGTATTGGGCACGATAATACCTCATCACAGGGCAGTTTTCAGAATCAAATGATATGTTTTTTTGAGACCGGATCTCACTCTGCTGCCCAGACTGAGTGCAGCGGCATGATCACAGCACACTGCAGCCTCAACATTCTAGGTTCAAGTGATCCTCCCACCTCAGCCAATCAAGTAGCTGGGGCCGCAGGCGCGTAGCACTGTGCCTGGCTAATATTTTATATTTTGTAGAGACAGGGTCTTGCTGCCCAGGCTGGTCTTGAACACTTGGGCTCAAGTGATCCACCTACCATGGCCTCGTAAAGTGCTGGGATTACAGGTGTGAGCTACCATACCTGGTTGAGAATCAAATGATTGACCACATATGTGGGGCTCACAACTGATCCTCACAGAGTCAGCACCGGTACCTTTGCTAGTACTGCTCTCCATGACTTCCTGTACATGGCTGTACCCATAGTGCAGTATTGGGCCAGAAACACAACACTGTGGACGCTGGAAATTTGCAGAGTATTTTGACCATGGCCTTCTTCATGCCGCCACTGACTTTAGAACCAAACCCTGACGGTACGGTAGGACATTAATGGTAGGATGCCAGGGTTGACTTTGGACGGGTAACCTCGCCAAAGTCTTGTAGAAAATATGGCAATTGACAAAACACAGCCTGGCACATAGTAGGTGTGCAGTAAATATTTGTAGGACCAATCAAACAAATAAAACGATTTCCAAAGATAGATGCCATGAAGGAGATAAAAGAGGCAGGTGACATCAAACACGTGTGACAAAGGTGGTGGAGGGTGGAAGGGGGAGGTTTAGGCTAAAAGCTAATCAGAGAGAATTTCCCGGGAAGAGTGGCTTACACGGTGAGCACCTCAAGCAGAGAGACGGCACATGCAGAGGCCCTGAGACAAGAAAGAGCTTTCTGTGCTCCAGGAAAAGCAAGAGCAGCGCAGCAAAAAGGTGGTGAGAACAGGAGAGAGCAGGAGGAGATGGAGTGAGAGAGGAAACTGTCGAGGAGACAGGGCCTTGTGGGTCTCAGCCAGGAGTTTGCATTTTGTTCTAAGCGGAGAGTTTAAAGTAGAGGAAGGAGCCGGGCACGGTGGCTCACGCCTGTAATCCCAGCACTTTGGGAGGCCGAGGTGGGCAGATCACGAGGTCAGGAGATCGAGACCATCCTGGCTAACACAGTGAAACCCCGTCTCTACTAAAAATACAAAAAAAAAAAAAAATAGCCGGGTGTGCTGGCGGGCACCTGTAGTCCCAGCAACTCGGGAGGCTGAGGCAGGAGAATGGCGTGAGGCCAGGAGGCGGAGCTTGCAGTGAGCCAAGATTGCGCCACTGCACTCCAGCCTGGGTGACAGAGTGAGACTCCGTCTCAAAAAAAAAAGAAAAAAAGGAGAGGAAGGAAGCAAGATCATGCTCACTGCAAAATGCCCTGGGAACTAAGATCTCTCACTGGGACACTGGTTGAGGGGTCCCCAGCCCTCTTCTGAGGAGAAGGATCATGCACGTTTCTACCCCAAGACCACCCTCATCTGCCCAGATCAAAGGTGACTGGGTCAGCTGGACCCTGCAGTTTCCTCTCCCACCAGAGCAGAAAGATGCCGTCATTGGGCACCGCTGCAGGTGAATTAGCCAAGGTCTTCATAAACTGCCTCCCCTGAGCCTCATGACTGCCTGCAAGGTGGAACTGCAGCATCCCACTTGCAGGTGAAGAGGCTGACACTCAGGGACGGCAGACCCTGAGGGTTCAAAGGCAGATCGAACCCCTAGACTCCAACGTTCACCCTATATGGGGGTGTCCAGAGGCTTCTGAGACCCCAGGCCTTCTGGGGTCCAGCATCTTCCCGTGAAGCCCCACTCGGCCTGGAGGGTCATGGAGTCATTTACTGTCACTCACAAACTCAAGCATCCTATCCTAAGTGTTGCATAAGGGGCTGCCCACTGGTGGCCTATAGGGTTTTATTTTTAAACTCAAATTAGTTGCTAAGATTTAAAAAAGCAAAAGACTGCCCATGAAAACATGCAGCTCTGGCTTCCATGAAAAAAAAAAAAAAAGCCCAACTGGCTCCTCTGGGCCCGCTGTGCCATGGGGCATCCACAAGCTGGAGTGGAGGTTTCCAGACCCTCACGTTCTGCACACAGCCACCTGGCCCCTGGGCCTGTGGCCTCTAGCCCGTGTGCTGCAGAGCCCACCTCTGCCTTGTTGGTTGGAGAAGCTGGGTCAGGGGTCCCTGCATGGCTGGGGCAGCCCAGGGGAACCTCTGTAGCCCAGGCTTCTCTGCTGTCTCACACAGGGACCTCTATGATGGCTTCAGCTGCTAGAACTTTCCAAAATGCTCCTTTTCCTGTCCCCATGTGGCACCGGTGGCCCCCTGCTACCTATTAAGAGGTCCTGCTCTTCGGCTGCAGATAGGGACAGTGACCTGAGGAAGAGACCATCCCCAAGGCCTTCCAAACCTAAGTCTGAATGCACAGGCTGCTGGGAGGGAGGATGGGGAGGTAGGGGTGCAAGGCTGGAGGGGAGTGCCACGGGAATACTGTCGTCTCAAGGCTGGGGGACTCCCCAGCAAATTGATGTGAAAGGGAACAGAAGCTGATTCAGGGTGCTGAATGGGTGACTTCTCCAGGAGCCCAGAGGCGAGAGTGTTCACTTGCACACGCCTGTATGCACACACTCGTACCACAGCACACACATGTGGTGATGCACGTGCACTAGCAGGCATGCAGACACACGCCAACTTGCAGCCCGCAAACGCCCACAGACCCAGACACGCAGACGCACGCTCCAGAGCCCACACGGTGCCCCGGCCTCCCTAATTGCATTTCTGAAAATGAGATAGAGGAAATCGAATGACTTTGAGGCGGCTGCCGTTACCCCATGGCGATTTCCCATCTCCGTTCAGAGAGGCCACAGCAGCAAGGCTGTCTGGAGTTCCGTCTGAGCCCTGAGACTCCTTAGCAACCCTCAGCATGGGCCACACTGCAAGCTGTCTCTGGCCTCGGCCAGCCGCCTGCTATGGACGGGAGCTGCCAGCTCATCTAGGGCTTGCAGTGGTGATAAGGGCCACTGACCTGCCTCCTGGGGCAGCTGAGACTACAGTGTCTCTCTGTTCTCAAGGCACCCCAAAGCCCAGGACCACAGCATTTCCCATCATTATAGAGCCCAGGGCCTCTGCCCCATGCTTGGTGCATCCTAGGACCCTGTGCCTACAGGATGAGAAGCTGCTGCCCAGAAGATCCCTTCCTATGGGTCTGTGCCACAGTGTGTTCTCCTCCTGAGGCTCTTCCCATCCTGAGCCACTCCACAGACCCTCTGATTGGAAGTTCCCCCAGACCCCTTATTCTCCACGGCATTTCAGACACAGCCTAGACAGAAGGATGCTGTTGGCCATAATATTGTCTTCAATGATAGAGCAGACAAATTGCATGATCAGCCGCACTGTTATCCTGGAGGTCACCTGAGACCCTCAGATCTTCCTCATAAACATAGTAAAGCACGTCTCTCACACCGAAAGTGGACATTGACAATGGAGGTTTTGAACTGATTGGAGCTATCACTGGTTTCCCTTTATTGGTTTGAATCTGTGCGATGATGAGGTGCATAGCTGAGAAAGAGCAGAGTCCCCCGGCCAGGTGGCTCCAGGAATGACCCAACCCTGGTCTGAATGACCAAGCCCCTCCTCTCCTGCATCCTCCTGGGCACAAGAGAGACAGTGGCTGGACCTGAGAACTGCAGAGCCAGGTGGTCCCAGACAAGCCATCACTGCAGAGGAAGAGCCTAAGCCCTGGGATCAACAGGGAGTGAGAGGCAGCTTGCTTCAAGACTCATCAGAAGTTAGCAGATAATTCCACCCACCTGACACATGGCAGCAGGGAAACAAATGTCTCCGAAAGACCTCACTCTCACTGGAAACTGGGATTTGGCCTTGCTCGGTCCCAGGTCTCAGCCTCTGCCCAGGCTGGACCCTGGTCCTCCATCTCACTGAGCAGTGGCCACGCTAGGACCAGGTGTCAGCTTTGCTGGATCATGGACCTCAGCCATGCAGAACCCTGGGCCTCAGCCTCACTGGACCTTGGACCTTGGCCTTACCAGGCTGTGGACCTTGGCCTCACTGAACCCTGGACCATAGTCTCACTGGATCTTGGCCTTGCTAGACCCTAGACTTCAGCCTTGCTGGGCCTCAGACTCTGGCCTTGCTTGACCTTGGACCTCAGCCTCACTAAACCCTAGACCATGACCTTATTGGACCCTGGACCTTGGCCTCACTGACCTTGGATCTTGACCTTCCTGGACCCTAGACCTCAGTCTCACTGGACCTTCGACCTTGGCCTTGCTGGACCCTGGATCTTGGCCTCACTGGACCCTAGGCTTCAGCCTCACTGGACCTTGGACCTCAGCCTCCCTGGACCCTGGACCTCAGCCTCACTGGACCCTATAGACCCTGGCCTTATTGGACCCTGGACCTTGACCTCACTGGACCTTTGGCCTCAGCCTCCCTGGACCTTGGACCTCAGAATCATTGGACCCTGGGCCTCAGCATCACAGGATCCTGGACCTTGACCTCCCTGGACCCTGGATCTCGGCCTTACTGGACTCTGGACCTTGGCCTCATTGGACCCTGGGTCTCAGCCTCACTGACCATGGACCTTAGACTCACTGACCTTGGACCTTGGCCTTGCTGTACTCTAGACCTCGACCTCGCTGGACTTGGACCTGGGCCTCGCTGGCCACTGGGTGCCAGCCTCCGCTTCTCCAGCCCCTCTGCAGGCTGCAGTCCTGCCGTGCCCCCTTGTCTCTGTGCTGCCAGCACAACTCCAGTCTCGCCCTCTCCTCTTCTTGGGGAAGTTGAGGCTCCTAAGAAAATGCCTTCTGCAGGAGGCCTACTCCACCAGGCAAGCTGTTGTCCTAGAGAAAAAATAAAAACCACCCAGCCTCACTTATAACAAACTTGGTCTGTTGTGCAACTTTGCAGTACAGAATGTACATGTGCCCAATCTCCCCACTGTTGCATAATTTTCCAGCTGTTTTCAGGACTATTTCATCCCTCGTCTGGCATATTTCACAAGCCATATATAAAAATTATATATATGTAAATATAAAGATGAGCATATGTGTGCGATGAAACGACAAATGTGAAGTGAGGGAAAGGAGGTAGGGGACCAGGACTTAGCAAAAAGGCAGATGAAACAAGTGTAAACATTTTGAATGCCACCTTCTCGACGTCTGGGTGAGAAAAGGAAGTTGGACTCCATTTAAATTTAAAGTGAGACATTCGTCCAATAAAATCGATTTCAAACTTGGTGGTGTTTGGCTTCCCTCTTCTCCAGTAGTTTTCTTTTTTTCGTAGTAACCCTTAAAACTCCATCCTATTCGTTACAGAAATTCTGTGTGCATCTTCTTGCCAAATATTTCTTAACAACGTAAGCTGAGATGTCCCATATGGCACAGAAAGGCAACATCCTGGCAAGCCCCTGCCTCCTCGTGCCTTATCACGACCCTTCACAGAGATAAGCTGAGCACTTCCTCCTGACAGGAAACCTGGGTTTCTGCTGGTCCTGCCAAAGTCACCTGCACAAGGGAGGCCACTCTCTTCCCAGAAGCAGGATCTGCCCAGGATGGCTGGGCCTGTGATGGGGAAGATGCTGAGCAGAGGGACCTGCAGGGCCAGACAGGTCACACCCTAGGCCACAAGCTGGAGGTTTGCAGGCAGAATCCTGCCCATGGGCATGTTTGGCTGGGACAGCACAGTCACTTTGAAAATTTGAATTAGATGCATAAGTTAAAAACTAGGTGCTTTCAGATTAGAAATCTAGATTCTTGGCTGCGAAAATAAAACTGATAAAACAAAATGTCCTGACAACACAGGGCTTGCACTCCAGCAGGGCAGTGGGACCAGGGGCTCAGAAGGGGCTGCCTATCCATCTCAGATCCCTTCTCACCTGTATCAATCAGCTATAGGCACAGGAGAACTACCTTGCCACCTACCCCAGGGAACAAGAGCCATCCTGCGGTCACAGCTCCGCCGGTCCAGGCTGTAGCTGGGGCAGCTCAGCTCCATGTCAGCTCATGTGGAGCCCAAAGTGCTGGGACAGCAGCTCCTGGGGAAGCCCATCTCATGGAGGAGGTCAGAATCTTCGAGAAAGATGAGCATAAAGACCTCATGCTTAAGGCCCAGGCTCAAATCCAGCACACCATCACTTCCACCTGTGTTCCACTGGCCAGGAGAGATGCACGCCCAGCCCAGTGGGAGTGGGGTGAGGAGGGACACTTCATCCTAGAGGGAGAAGCTGCAAAGTCACACAACAGTGGATGTGGAAGAGGGGTGTGTACTGGATTGAGCAGGGTCCTCCAAAAGTGCATGTCCTTCTGGAATCTTAGAAAGGGATCTCATTGGAAAACGGGCTCTTTGCAGATGTAATTAGTTAAGAGGAGGTCACACTGGATCAGAGTGGCCCCAATCCAATATGATGGGTGTCTTTCTAAGAAGTGGAGATGCAGAGACACAGATACACAGACAGAAGGCCATATGGTGACAGAGGCAGAGATCAGAGTGATGCCACCACCAGCCAAGGAACAGCAAGTGTTGCCAGAGCTATGACCTCAACTGTGCCCCCTTCAAATTCACATACTGAAGCCCTAACCCCTAATGGGACTGTATCTGGAGACAGGGCTTTTGGGAGGAGATTAAGGTTAAATGAGGTCATAGGGGTGGGGCCCTAATCCAATAAGACTGGTGTCCTTATAAGAAGAGGAAGGGTTATCTCCCTCCCTCATTCCCTCCCTCCCTCTCCCTCTCTCTCTTGCTCTCACTCTGGCTCTCTCCAACACCTGAGGACACAGCAAGAAGGCAGCCAGCTACAAGCTGGGAAGAGAGCCCTCACCAGGAACTTAATTGAATGGTATGTTGATTTTGAACTTCCCACCTCCAGAACTGTGAGAATACATTTCTGTTGTGTAAGCCCCTCCATGACATTTCAGTGGCAGCCCAGGCTGATTAGTACAGCCAGCAGTCACCAGAAGCCAGAAGAGACACATGGAACAGACTCTCCCTCCAAGCCTCCAGAATGAGCCAGCACCTTGATTACAGACTTCTGGCCTCCAGAACTGTGAGAGTCACCTTGATTTCAGACTTCTGGCCTCCAGAACTGTGAGAGTAGATTTCTATTGTTTTAAGTCATTTGAGTTTGTGATCATCCGTTATGGCAGCTCTAATATAGGATGGGTGAGGAATTGGAAACAATAAGACAATATACTACAGACTGTCCTCTTGGACCCAATTACTCAAGAGGCTTCCTGCTGTGGTTTGAATGTGTCCCCTACAAAATTCATGTGTTGGAAACTTAATCCCCAATGCAACAGTGTTGAGGGGTGAGCTGTGATAAAAGGGGCTTGTGAAAATCGGTTCTCTCTCTTCTGTTCTTCTTCCACATGAGGACACAGCAAAAAAGCCCCCATCAAATGCTGGTGCCTTGATCTTGCCTTCAGAACAGTGAGAGAATTAATTTCTGTTCTTTGTAAATTATGCAATCTTGGTATTCAGTTACAGCAGCACAAAATGGACGAAGACACGCCTGCTCCCAAAATATACTCACTCCATCCTAAGACCCTGAAAGCCTTAACCACTCATGATTCAAGCTTGAAGTCCAGAATACCCCATCCTACATCACATCCAGATGTGGCTTCTCTTGCTCCAGAGACCTGTGGAACACAAGGAGAAGTTATGTTCACCCCTCCTACCTTCCACACCTCACACACACCCCAGCAACACTCCCATTCAAAGGAGGGAAGGACAGGAAGCCCATAGCAGTCACTGGTTCATAGCAATCCTTAAATCCTGTTGGAAAAATGTTGCCAGGTGCTGCTCCCCTGGGGGTCGAGAATGTTCTGGGATGAGGTTCCAGGTTCACCCTCTGGGACTTGAGCCTCAATCCATTGTTTTCTGTGGCTGTTTACTCTCTAGGAGATCCTTCCTTTCCCATCCTTCTCCTTGGTCACCTCTGAGAAGGACCCTGGAAAATATGCCCTTCCTGGCAGCTGAAGGGTCTTGTTCATAAAATGTCAGTGGCCCCCAAATTTTTTTTTCCACATTAAATACCGTTAGTCTCTTTTAGTCCAGACTGGTGGGCTTTTGCCAAAACAGCTCTCTCAAAAATGATGTAAGCCTGGCGCGGTGGCTCACGCCTATAATCCCAGCACTTTGGGAGGCCGAGGGGGGCAGATCACGAGGTCAAGAGATCGAGACCATCCTGGCTAACATGGTGAAACCCCGTCTCTACTAAAAATACAAAAAAAAAAAAAATTAGCTGGGCGTGGCGGCGTGCACCTGTAGTCCCAGCTACTCGGGAGGCTGAGGTGGGAGAATGGCATGAAGCCAGGAGGCAGAGCTTGCAGTGAGCCGAGATCATGCCACTGCACTCCAGCCTGGGCGACATAGAGAGACTCCATCTCAAAAAAAAAAACAAAACTGGATGCTGTGTGCCAAAAGCCATATTCACAATGTATTACAAGACATGCCTTTCTCTACACTTAATTGCAGGTACTGTGAGCCCCCTGAGCTGCTTCAGGACCCACCGTTGATCTTTCTAGTAACTGCTGGGCATCATTTAATTCTTTCAGAGGTCTTCACACAAGGTGTGATAGCTGTGTCTTTGATTTGATTTTTGTCCCCAAGCTATATCTTCATTGACTTGAATTTTCTTCCAGGCTGTATCTTAAGTGGGAAATCTTTTATTGGATGGAGAGATTGAAGATTAGAAATAGTTTTCTTGGCTGGGCACAGTGGCTTACACCAGTAATCCCAGCACTTTGGGAGGCCAAGATGGGAGAATACCTTGGGTTCAGGAGTTCAAGACCAACCCTGGCAATACAGCAAGACACCGTCTCTATAAAAAATTAAAAATAATAAAAATTAGCCAGTCATGGTGGCACACACCTGTAGTCCCAGCTACTCGGGAGGCTGGGGTGGGTTGATCGCTGGAGCCTGGGAGGTCAAAGCTGCAGTGAGCTGTGGTCATGCCACTGCACCCTAGCCTAGAAGACAAAGCAAAACCTTGTCTCAAAAAACAAAAAAGAGAAAAGAAATAGTTTTATTTTCCAACCCAGAAAGTTCCAGAATTTCCAGGCTCTGTTTTCCTTCTCAATTCTTCTTGACAAGCAGCCAGTGTTTTCCGGAGATGTCTCCTGTTTGTGGTTCCATATCAACTGTGGGCAGCAGAGGCCAGCTCATGCCTTCAACATCCTACCTGGACACACCCAGCCCAAAGCCGTGAGTGTACCAAGTACCTTTTCTAACCTTCAACTTACTGCGAGTGACAGTTTTTAGCAAATGTCTCACCACTGCATAACACAGGCCATCATTTTTGCAGCCTCCTATAACAGTTTCTGGTTTCAAAGCCAATTCTGTTCTAGGTACCGGTTTCCATAGCGGTTCACCACTGCCATAATATCGCTGCATAATAAACCACCCTAAAACTTGGCAACCTCAAACAGCAAGAACGTATTCTCAGGCTCACAGCTCGGTTTTTGTGTGTGCGTTCTGGGGCCCGGGCTGAGGGGGCAGCAGCTCCCACGGGAAGCTCATCCCATGGGTGAGGTCAGAAGCTGCCAGAAAATGTCACTTCGCCCACGTACCACTGGCCAGGCAAAACTCACTGCCCAGCCTGTCCTAGAGGGAGAAGCTGCAAAGTCATGTGTCAGAGGGCACGGACATAGGGATGGGGAGGCCCGGGGAACCGCAGTGCAGCCCAGCACAGCCTGCATTGAAGTTTCATTACTTGCCAGTTTTCGCATTATGAAAGTGCTGGTTCTTGTAACAAGTGAAATGATTCCAAATCATGTGAACCAAAGCAAGTATCTGTTCCCTGTGCATCTCCCACATCGCCTTCTTTGCGGATAGAGAAGAATGGAGCCATGGTGGGGGAGGAAGCCAGGAAGAGAGAGGAGGAAGCAAGACTGAAGCAGGGAAAGGGCTGGCGCCTCCCCTGCCCCAGTTCCAGCCCCGCCAGAGGCTCCACGCGCTTTCCCACTCTGGATGTCATGGAATCCGCACCACCCTCATTCTCAACACCGAAGGACCCAATTTGTGCATGACAGTTTAGATGGGTTTCTCTTCTGTATTAGCTTCCTGTGGCTGCTGTAACAAATCAACACCAACTTGGTTTAAGCGGGGCTTAAACCGAAAGAAACTTATTCTCTCCCCGCTCTGGAGGGCAGAAGTCCGAAGTGAGTCTGAGAGCAGAAAGCAGGTGTCTGCAGGGCCACACTCCCTCCAGAGGCTTTGGGGAGAATCTGTTCCCTGCCTCGCCCAGCTCCTGGGGCTGCTGGCGTTCCTTGGCTCACGGGCGCTTCCCTCCCATCTCTGCCTCCCTGGTCACATCGCCGCCTCCTCTTCTGGGTGTGTGTCTGGGTCAAACCTCCCTCTGCCTCCTCCTCATAAGGACATTTATCCAATTTAGCACCCACCTAGATAATCCAGGATAATCTTCTCCTCTCAAAATCATCCATCAAATCACATCTTCAAAGACACCTTTTCCAAGTGAGGCAACCTTTACACCTTTGCAGACCATCATTCCACAGCCACGCCCAGAACAGGGGAGCCAGGTGATGGAGGGTGGGATCTGCCTGCCGAGAACGAGGAAGGGCATCGGTGACAGGTAACAACCTGAGGCACTGGAGAGGGAGAGCACGCGTGATGTTCCTCAGAAACGAGTCGCATTTCCGCATAGCGCCTCCTTCAGACCGTGAGAGATCGCCAGAGGGCGTGGGCTTTCCGTTCTGTTCTCTGAACCTACAGTTAAGCCCAAGCCAGGGGCCGCTTTTCCCTAATGAACATGCCTTTCTTCGGTGGACCTGACCCTGTTACAGGAAAGCCGCGCTTTGATGAAACCAGTTCTTTAAAATGAAACATGGTATTAAAAGCCATAACAGGATCCCTGTGAAATTAAACAGGGAAGACAGACGTTCTAAACGCCCCCCGACACTGGTTTTGATTTTTTAAGTTGTCAGTTAAATTAAAGTCAGGCCACAGAGACTCAGCGCTCAGCTTGCCTTCCTGGAGGAAAATGCTCGGATGCGCCTCCCCGCAACAGGTCCTCCTCTTGCAAAGCTCTTTGAGGTTGGATACAATCTTTTTTTGTTGGTTTTTGTTTTCGGTTTTTTTGTTTGTTTGTTTGTTTTTGTTTTTGAGATGGAGTCTGGCTCTATCGCCCAGGCTGGAGTGCTGGAGTGCAGTGGCACGATCTCAGCTCACTGCAACCTCCGCCTCCTGGGTTCACGCCATTCTCCCGCCTCAGCCTCCCGAGTAGCTGGGACTACAGGCGCCCACCACCACGCCCGGCTAATTTTTTTTTTTGTATTTTTTAGTAGAGACGGGGTTTCACAGTGTCAGCCAGGATGGTCTCGATCTCCTGACCTCGTGATCCGCCCGCCTCTGCCTCCCAAAGTGCTGGGATTACAGGCGTGAGCCACCGTGCCCGGATACAATCTTGCCTGCCACCCATGTTTCAGCTCTGGGGGTGGAAGGCAGGAAGCCACCGGTGAGAGCCAAGAACTAGTCACGAGATCAGTGAGGGGTTCTGTCTGTATCAGCCTGTCTCAGGACCGTGAAAGGGCCGTTCCAAGCAAGGGCTCAGATGTGGATAAGAACTGGTGGCTTAAATATGGTTATATGGCAAGTGACAGAAACTGACTCGGGCTGACTTGGGCAAAAAGGGAAGTTATTGTTTCACAGAATTAAAAATCCAGGGATAGTTTGGCCTTGGACAGCTGAAATGTTGTCCTCAGGACCCAGTTTCTTTCCCTCCAGCTCTCTGTTCCTCTTCCTATGGGTTGATCCCATCTCAAACAAGAAATGTCCTCATGATACCAACAGGGCTGCCACGGCTCCAGCTTCACATTCTCAGAACCTCAAGCCCTGAGGGGAAACAGGCTTCTTCCCCAACAACTCATATTGAGTCCCAGGTATCTAGTGGGCCTAGATGGGGCCAGGGGCCCATCCTTGCACCAATCTAATGGCCAAGAATTCACTGAGGGGCCAGGATTTGGCCGAACGATCCACCCCCGAAAGCTAAGGGCTGGGTTAGCTTCACCCTAGTTACATGCCCCACAGAAAAGCATGAGTGGCTACTAAATAGTAAGTGTCTCCCATGCTACTTTAATGGCTGACTCAAAATGCCTCTAGTAAGTCAGAAAAGCAGTTAATCCTTATAGTCTGGATCGTCCAGTTTAATGGCTCTATTAGTCAAGAGTTGCCATTAAAAAACACCACACACTGTGTGGCTTGAACAACGGAAATTTATTTTCTCACAGCTCTGGAGGCTGAAAATCTGGGACCAGCGTGCTTGCATGGTCGGCTCCTGGTGAGGCCTCTCTGGCTTGTAGACACATCTCACTATGTCTTCACACAACCTCTTCTCTGTGCAAGAAAGAAGAGAGAGAGAGAGAGAGATGGAGGGGGAGAGAGAGGGAGAGACGGAGGGGGAGAGGGAGGGAGACACGGAGGGGGAGAGGGAGGGAGAGACGGAGGGGGAGAGGGAGGGAGAGACGGAGGGGGAGAGGGAGGGAGAGACGGAGGGGGAGAGGGAGGGAGAGACGGAGGGGGAGAGAGAGGGAGAGACGGAGGGGGAGAGAGAGGGAGAGACGGAGGGGGAGAGGGAGGGAGAGACGGAGGGGGAGAGGGAGGGAGAGACGGAGGGGGAGAGGGAGGGAGAGACGGAGGGGGAGAGGGAGGGAGAGACGGAGGGGGAGAGGGAGGGAGAGACGGAGGGGGAGAGGGAGGGAGAGACGGAGGGGGAGAGAGAGGGAAAGAGCCTTAGCTCAAGCATGCACTCTGGTGTCTTTTCCCCTTTTATTTGTTTATCTATTTATTTCTGAGACAGGGTCTCACTCTGTCACCCACACTGAAGTGCAGTGGCACGAACACGGCTCACTGCACCCTCGACCTCCTGGGCTCAAGTGATCCTCCTACCTCAGCCTCCCGAGTAGCCAGGACTATAGTTGCACACCGCCATGCTTGGCTAATTTTTTTTTTTTTTTTGTACAGTCAGAGTCTCACTGTGTTGCCCAGGCTGGTCTCAAACTCCTGGGCTCAAGGGATCTTACCTCCCACCTTGGCCTCCCAAAGTTCTGGGATTCCAGGTGTGAGCCATCACACTGCCCCCTCTTTTATAAGGACAAGAGTTCTATTAGATGAGGGCCACACCCTTATGACCCCACTTAACCTTAATCACCTCCTTAAAGACTATCTCCAAACAGTCACACTGGGGCTAGGGTTTCATCATCTGGGTGGATGAAGCACAGTTTAGTCCATGCAATGGTCAAACTAACAAGGTAATTGCATATTTCCACTGGGTCCTATGTCAGCATGGCTTGTTATCCCAAGAAACACCAACTCAACAGCCCCGGGGAAATCGGGGCTGGAGGTGAAGGTGGAAATGCTTTGCCTGCTTCCGGCCTGTGCCTCCTCCCTCCCACACACCACCCCAGCCAGCCCACCCTGCTCCAGGACCACCCCAGGCCTAGTGGAGAGGCCAGGGCCTATAGGGCAAGCTGGCTCAGGTCAGCCAGGTGCCAGGCCCACCCTGGCCTCCAACCCCAGCCCCAGTGGCTGCACCCACTTCTTTTCAGAGTCCAGTCTCAGAACTCCAACCTGGGGGCTCCCTCGTCTCCCTCAGAGCCACTACCCCATGTGCCTTTCTCTATACCTGCTGTAGGCTGGCCTTTTATCACCTCCAAATCTCATGTTAAGATTTGGTGTCAATGTTGGAGGTGAGGCGTAAGGGAGGTGTTGGGTCATGGGGCAGGTGTCCCTCATGAATAGAAATCTTTCTGGCCGGGCGCAGTGGTTCACGCCTGTAATCCCTGGACTTTGTGAGGCCAAAGCAGGTGGATCACCTGAGGTTGGGTGTTCGAGACCAACCTGACCAACATGGAGAACCCCTGTCTCTACTAAAACAAAAAAAAAAAACAAAAAAAAGAAATCTTTCTATTAGGGTTTTCTACTCATGAGGGACACCCCGGCCCCCGCACCCGTCCCCATGAATTCCCTCCCTGTGTGGGGCAGGGTGAGTGAGCTCCTGCTCTTTTAGTTCTTGTGAGAGCCTGGCACCTCCCCTGTCTCTCCTGCTTCTCACTCACCATGTGGTCTGCACACACCAGCTCCCCTCCACCTTCCTCCATGAGTGGAAGCAGCCGGAGGCCCTCCCCAGATGCCCAAATCTGAACTTTCCAGACATCAAGTCAACCTCCGAGCCAGATAAACTTCTTTTCTTTATAAACTACCCAGCCTCTGGAATTCCTTCAGAGCAACACTAAGACACTGCCCCGCCCTTACCTCCTGGTAACCCCAGGCTGAGACACAAACCACATTCATGGACATGTGAGCAACTGTGGAGGGGTCTTTTGGTCAAAAATGGAATCATTCCATAGGTATCAGCAGCCAACAGTTCTCACTTCCTGACACGTCGCGGCCGTCTATTGAGGATGGTAGCCTGAGATCTACTGCCTTCTCCAGCAGGTGCTTAAAAGCCCATAGCTGTGATGTGTTCAGCCACTCCCATATTTTTTATTGACATTTGTAGGTTGTTTGCAGGTTGTGCGTGTGTCTGTGTGTCTACCAGCAATCTTGTAGTAAGCATCCTTGCTTCTTTGTACACTGGTGCTCTCATTTCTGTAGGATAAAATCCCTAGAGTGGGATTGTGGGTTCAAGCTAATGTGTCTTTTAAGCTGAACAGATATTGCCGGCCAGTCTTCGATGGGATTGAGCCACTCCCCTGTCAGTGAGATCCCATGGGGGCGCGTCTCTGCCTCCCTGCTCGCTCAGTCTGCCGCTGCTCTCTCTGGTCTTTGCTACGCTCACTCCTGCACAGAGTGCCTCACTGTTTTCATTTGCACCTCCTGACCCTAAGGTGTGAGGCTGAGCACTGTTGCTTTTGTTTGACAGGCCGCTGAGGCACCGGATGGAGCCTGGGTTGCGGAAAGCTTTCCTGAGGCCAGGCACTCTGAGTATGGATGAGATGGCTTAGGCTGGAGAAGGGGAGGAGAGCAGTGCAGAACAGCCAGGTGGAAGCTGAGGGGCTCTGAGAGGGCTCAAGCTGGGTTTGAGGGGAGTCCAGAGCGTGCCCAGAGATTGGGGGAGAGGATGGGCAGTGGCCAGGGGTTGTGCACAGGACAAGGGTGTGGCCTAAGACCTCCACGTAGATGCCTTTAAATGGGACAGCCGGGCTTATACTAAGGCACTCTCTAGGGTTTCCATTCTAACCCAGCTCGGTCATCATCTGACCATCATCTCAGGAGCGCCCCTGCCCCTCTGGGCCTCGGTTTCCCTATCTTTAGCTTCAGGGAGCTGGCCCAGTTGATCTCAGTCCTTTCAGTTCTAGCATCTTCTGAGTGGTCAGCAAAAGCCTGCGCTAGCAGCCCCTTCTATAAACATTAATTCACGAACAATATTAAAGGCTGTGGGGGTCCCAGGGGGAATCCTGTGGAGAATCAGAGATTCCCAAGCACTCGTTCCCTGACCCTGGGGCCCACTTCGGGTGGTGAATGTGCGGAACCTTAAAGAGAGGGCTGGTGAGAGCTTGGCCTCTGCGTGACTTGGGCCATGAGGCTGGGGTCAGGGGACTGCTTGCCACCCCTTCCTCCAGGCCTCTGCGTGACAGGAATGCCACACGTCCCAGGTGCCCAGGCCAGGATTCTAAAAGGTGTCCTCATCTCTTCCCCTTCCCTCTGCCCCATTCGACCAAAGGAAAAGGTCCTGCTCACTCCTCCTGTTGAAAGACCAGGAGAAGGTGTCGCGGTAATGGCGGCTGCGTCCTGCCTGGGAGATCAGGAGGCCACAGAGTGTGCAGGGGTGGTGACCTCCTTCCAGCAGCAGGTCCAAGGCACGGGGGTCCCACGGGCCAGGTGGGAGGCTGACGTGGGGCACCCTGCCCAGGGTTTTTTCACATGGGGTCCTGCCGCAGAAGGTGCCTGCCACACAGAGGGGAGCTGGCAGCAGCCAGCCGCCTGAAGACTCCCCCAACCCGCCCCTCCCCGCACAGCAAGGAGTGCAGAGCCCAGGAAGCTCTGGGCAGTGGCTCCAGGAACCCGTGGGCTGCAGACCGCCTCTCCACGGCAGCCCCAGCCTGTGAGCGCCCAGCAAGCCACGGAGCACAGTTGAGATGGTGACGAATACTGTGGACTAGAAGTCTAAAGGGGTTGAAAAGCGATGGCATTTGAGATGTAAAGTGGCTGTGAGACTGTTTATTACTGAAGGGCCAGGCCGGGTGAGGACATGGATGAGGTCAGCAGACTAGACAGGTTAGCTACGGGGCCAAGCGTTCTCCAGGGGCCTCCAGGCTGGCCCGAGATGCCAGGTCCTCCCAGGGAGGAGGGCTTTCAGCCCCACCCTCGAACCCCTGCCCTGCTTCCTGCCAGCCCAGCACCTCTTGGCATTTCTCCTCTAATGAGCCCTCGGAACGCTCTCCTTTGCTGACTCAGGCTCTCATGGCGATGGCCTCCTCAGCTGTCCAGATCATTAGTGAAAAGGTTAATGGATCCCGCTGGGCAAAAAGCCTGGGTATTTTAGGGACCTGCCCTCCTCTGTCCACATCCCCAGGCAGGGTCCCCGCACCCAGCAGAGCACAGACTTGGGAGAGGAGGCTGCAGCCCGCAGCAGAGAAAGAGGATGAGGCGGCCCCGGGTGTGTGCAGAGGATGCAAGACTGGCCAGGAACAGCACCGCCAGCCTCATTCTCAAGGTTGAGGGTGGGACTTGGACTCACGGAATGTCCCAGGCTATGCCTCGTCACCACCTCCAGCCAGGACCTGGGCCTTTCTCTTCTCCACGGCCGTTCCCAGGCCTGCCTGCAGCAGCTATCTCCAAGCCACCCTTGTGGCTCTGCAGGAGGTGATCCGCTCCTCTTCTGTGCTCTGGGATCGTGGCTTGCCTCGGGGAAGACAGGCCTGAGGTTCTTCAGGCCCAACTCTCAGGGACACTGCTGGGAATCCCAAACCAGGCCTTGTCTCCCGCCTCCTCACCCTGGCCACACACTCGTCTGCAGAACAGATGGATGAGCTAAGGAGCAGATGTGCCAGGTTCTGCCTGGAGCCACTGGTCCCAGTGGGCCTCTGTTGTACCCCGTGCACCTCTCCCCAGGCACAGCCTCGTGCCTCCCCTGGCTGGAGTCAGGGGCTCCTTCCTGTGCCCCTGCTATGCTAGGCCCAGCCCTGTACCTGGCCTGGCCAGAGATCCAGTGCCACCCCACAGCCATGGGGAGGATATGCAGTGAGGGCACAAGGACAGGGTGATCCTCAACAGCTCCAGCACGCACCCTCCACTTCCCGACATCCACTCGCAGCATATGGGTGAGAGGAGCCCTTGGGAACCTGGATCACATGGAATCCAGCCCTGAGCTCCTGGCATCCTGGGCTCACAGCTCCAGGTGACTCTAAGGCTGAGGCTGGAGAGGAAGCCCTCGATGCAGCAAGCCAAAGCCAAAGCGGAGCCGGCCTCCTGCCTCTCACTCCCGCAAGACCAGTGCAGGGGCCAGCCCCTCCCAAAGCCGCCTTCGCTCTGTCCCCACACACAAAGGACTAGGCTCACAGCTATCTCAGCGCCCATCACCTTCTGTGCAGACCTTGAGGAAGCCCCTGTGTGCCCCCCAGATGGGGCATGAGGGGTCTCACCCAGATCTCGGCTGCCAGTGCCTGGCACAGCGTCCATACATAACAGGCGTTCAATTATTGCTCTTCTTCTCCAACTTCTCCTTTGCCGTTCCTGGGCTGGGGGAGGGGCCTTTAACCCCCATCTGCAGGCCCCATCTCATTCTCCCAGGCCTAGGCCCGGAGCCCAATCCTGTGGCACCCCCAGGTCCCCTCTGATTTCTAGCCCAATCCTATCCATTCAAGAGAAGGAGAGGCCGTAAACCCTGGCAGAGATGTGGGGCCCCAACCCCTCTCCAGGGATGTGCACACGAAACCCTGGCATTTGTCCCTCCTCAACTGGGACAGCAGTGCCCGGCCTCAGGAAAAGGGTCCTCTCCAGCGCTGCTGAGGGAATAGAGATCAGGGACAATTGTCTGGTTACATTTCTTTGGAGTCATCTGGAGTCACACGGCCTTCCCCAGGGGCAAGGAGCACCTGATGTGTGCCTGCTCTGTTTAGCCTCCCCAGTGTGGAGAAGGAGATGGGAGCTGGCCTCCTATGAGGGTCAAGCTGGAGATCCCCAATTTCACTGCCTTGGAGCTCCAGGTCTGATGCAGGAAGATCATTGAAAAAAAGCAGCATGGGTTCACCCATCCACTGTGGCGATTATCAGCTTGGCACCAGCTGGACGGGAGAAGAGCTGGGGGCTTGAACGTGGGGCTCCCAGGTGCTGGCTGCAGATTTTAGAGGTGTGGGGGACAGACCCTAGCTTAGCAGTTTCTCTTTTCCCAGTTCTTAGCCCCCAGCCCCCTTCTCATTTCTTCTATCCATATGCTGGAAGAGGTGGTCTCCTGTCTGCCTCACCCTCAGCACTACCCCCATCCCAGCCCCATTGATATTATAGGAAGAAATGGAGAAGGAGCTCAGAGCCCCCTCATAGCGCCTTCCTGCAGTAACCTGCCTTGGGGGACTTTGGGGGCCTCCTCCATCACAGCTGCTGAGCCCAGAGGCCCCACGGGCCCTGCTTTAAGATGTCATTAAAAAGATGAGTCTAAAAGAAAAACCTATTAAAATTCACAATCCACATGCCCATTTTTCTACCTCGACCATGTACCCAAGAGAGGGCCTGTACACGAATGTGCCTGCTGTGTTGTGTAGCAGCAAAACCTCGGGAACGATGGACATGGCACAGACAACAGCACCACTGAGCAGGCCGGGCCCCCACCGAGAGGGGGTCCCACACGCCACCCGCACACTGGCTCCACTCCCACGCCAGGAAGGAGCGCGAGGTGCAGAGCCACCTCCAGGTGACCCCATCCACACCCAGCAACGGCAGAGTCCCCCTCTTCCCCAGGGAGCAGCTCCATGCCACTCCCTCGACACAGAGGGCCCTCTGCTCCGGAGGACGTTCGCTCTCTCTGCAGCCACCCTGTCTGGTCATCTCCTCTTGAGGATTCAGACCCCGGACTTCCCAGTGCCTGCTGTGCTGCCTTGGGCTGAGCACCCGGGACCTAACAACGATGCCTAGCACTTGTGTTCATCAGCTGGGCTCCCAACACAGAGCCACACGACTGTGTGTGTTCATCAGCTGGGCTCCCGTCACAGAGCCGCACGACTGTGTGTGTTCATCAGCTGGGCTCCCATCACAGAGCCGCAAGGACTATGGGACTAGAACAGCAGAACCATTGTCTAGCAGTCCTGGAGGCTGCAAGTCCGAGTTCAAGGTGTTGGCAGAGTTGGTTTCTTGCAAGCCCTCTCTCCTTGGCTTGCAGGTGGCCGCCTTCCCCTAGCTTCCACACATGGTTGTCCCTGTGTGTCTGTGTCCTAAACTCCTCTTCTTATAAAGACATCAGTCATATTGGATGAGTAACCTCATTTGAATTTAATGACTTCGTAAGTTCCTATCTCCTAATCTATGCACACTCAGAGCTACTGGTGGTAGGACTTCAACCGCTGAATTGTAGGGGAACACAATTCGCCCCATTACACTGGTCCAGCACTGACCACATGTGAGGCAGTATTCTAAATGCTTTAACTCACTCATTTCTCTCAACATCCCTCAGAGGTGGGAACTATTTTAACCATCCTCATGTTACAGATGAAAAAACTAAGGCTCAGAGCCATGACAACAATTGTCCAAGGTCGCCAGCACCTACACTGGCTTGTGTGTGCCTCATTGGTGTCCCCAGCTAGAAGCTGTGCCCCGTGAGGATAGCAGTTGATTGCACCATTCCCAATGCCTGGCACAGAGAGAGTGCTGAGTGAGGGAGTGGTGGCCAGAGAGGAGCTGCCCTCCAAGGACTGTAGCCCCGCAGAGGCCTCCCTTTCAATGCTCAGCTCAGAGCTGAGCTCTCTGGCCCCCTGGCAACCAGCCCCTGCTCCCCAGGCCCCAGGCCTGCCCAGACACAGGAGCCGCAGGGCCACACAGATGGCACAGCCCTTTGGTAAAAATCAATGCCATTGCCAGTGAGCAGCTGGGCCAAGCTTCCCAGAGTGCTACGGTATCCCAGCAACAACACGCACATCCCCTTGTCTGCAAGCTCCTGAGAAGATACTGCTCCCAGACACCACAGCCCAGCTAGTCCCAGCTT